>NC_000006.12:3696363-3847878 GCF_000001405.40 Homo sapiens
CAAATATTTTAAATCTTGCTCTAAATATTACATTTAAAAAATTTTTAAATTTTATTTATAGACATTTTAAAAATGTCTATAGATAGCTGGTGCTCCTTCTAACCTCAGCAAAATAGGGACCCTCCCCGCATGATGGACAGAGGGACCCAAAAGAAAACAATCAAAGAACTCAAAAGGAGAGCCTCAATTCACAGAAATGGCGTGTCTTTTTTCTCTGGAATAAAATAAGTAATTTCATGGGCCCATGAAATGCAGGCAGGCTTCTGATGATTGTGAAATGGAATCTTATGCAAAAAAAAACAAATAGCCTTTCCTTGCAGCCAGCCAGTGTTTAGGCAGCACCTGCCACACACCCAGCACTGGGACAGCTGCCCTGGAGAATACGCAGATGGTGAGTTTTGCTCACCAGAAATAATGAATAAGAATTTCTTGGAGAAAAGCTTTCAGTGCTATTGAAGGCCTGCACACCCCAGGGAGCTTCCACCACAGAGCCAGCAGCAGAGCCCTGAAGGTCCCCGCCAGTAGGGGAGAGATAGACGGTGAGATGGAAGAGAAGCAGGAAGGGAATCAGGAGAGCAGGGAGGCAGTGGGAAATCATGGGAAAGGGAAGAGGGAGAGATGCAGGGGCTGTCCCAGCCCCGGTGTGGAACTTTGGAGGAGAGTAACATCCAGAGAAGGTTCTGAGATGCTTATTTGGTGGCACACTATGCAAACCCCTTGGATGAGGACCTCACTTTTTAAAAAGCCTACAGCACAGTTCTTCACTATTCCTCTGGGCTTATGTTCCTTTGAATTACACTTCATGCAGAGATTGGACCTGAGGGGAACTTGCAATTCAGTGAAGTTACAAATAACAGCCTTGAAGTTTCTTCCAAATGAAATATCCTATGATCTTTGATTATTTCTAGACAACAAAGCCAGGGCCACAGAAGCAGATAAAATAAAGAATCAAGACCTGTATCTGAACACTTAGAACCCCTACATTCTGCTCTAGAAAGAGAGGGGAAGTACTGAGTGCTCTGAATTTGTCCTGTCTCCCATTGCCACACAGGACACCATCATCCTCCCACTTCACGCTTTGCTGTTTTCATGACTAGACATCAGTTTTTTCTTTGACTTGGCCATGAGCAGGGGATGATGGAAATATGAACTGAGCCTTTCAGGTGTTAATTTCTTTTAGAGAGCCTGAATTCCTCCCCTCGGAGCCTCTCCTCTTTCCCTTCTCTGGTCTAGTGATGCTCAGTAGGGACTAGGGCTTGTCTTCCTACCCCCCTGTCTACTAGGCACCAGCACTCTAACAAAAAAATATTTTAAGCCCTTCTCAGACTGCTAAACATGAGAGACAAATCTTACCACATTTTGTATTTTTGGCCCTTTTCCCTTAATTTAGCAATGAGTTCACACCCCCCTACTGCAGTTGAATGTTGAGTCATCCATTCCACTCATGCCCTTTTCCCAGACTTCATAAGACTCATGCTGCAGAGAGGCTTCCATGGAGCCAGGGCAGGCCTAGGTGATTCTACAAACCTTCCCAGCGGTGCCTTCCCAGCAGTTACTGAGATGATGTGAGAGACATGCTGGAAACATTTAAGGCCATAGAGCATGTAAGGCCTTCTACACTGTCCCAATATAACTTTCTAGTCTTTAATTTTCCCCACTGACAGAGCAGGAGCATCGCCATCTTAGACAAGCACCACCATTTTAAAGTTACCCTTGATCAAAAACCACCTAAATCCAAAATGCATCAGCCTAATGGCTAAGGTCAGCATGACCATAAACCACAAATGACACCTCTGACCAGAAACATTCCAACCCTAAGATTAAACCCCTCCCTGACCAGAGACATGCCAGCCCTGAGATAATCTCCCCCCTGCCGGAGAGACGTCAGCCCCAAGATAACCTCGCCTCCGACCAGAGACATTCCAACCCCACAATAAACTTCTCCACACAGAAATATTCCAAGCCTGTGATAAGCTCTTTCACCCTAAAACCAATAAATACTCCTACTCTGTAAGAGAGTGCTCCTGACCAAAATCAGCCAGATGCCCCTCTCAGGTTTATTCTCCAAAATAAACCTGTCTTTGACTGTTGAGCCGCTTTTCCTGTTTCTTTTCTCTTTCTTTAACTCTTACACCCATTATTCGAATATTCTAATCAGATCTATCAATCAAAGCAAATACTACTTGCCAAGAATTGAGCTACATGCTAAGGTTACAGTGGAGCAAAAACAACAAAGTCCCTTTCTTCTTGAAGCTTATAGTCTATTGGATAAATACATATTAAATATTTAACTGCAAAAACAATGTATTTCAGCCATGAAAAGTGCTGTAAGAACTGTAATATAATTTAAAAATATATATATATAGCCTTTGTCCTTAGTTGGTACAGAGCTTCAAAAACCCTTGGAGTTTTGTGAATGATACGAATGTCTTTGTGATGCTAATGAGGTGATGCCCAGTGGGCCCCTACATAGCCTCAGTATGGGGGCTGGCCACCAGTAAGACTAACCATGTGATTATAGGGTTGCACTTCCAGCTGCCCAACCTCCAGGGAATGGAGGCCTCAAGATTGAATTCAACTATGTGGCCAATTATTCAATCTATCATGCTTACATCATGAAACACCAATAAAAACTCTAGACACCAAAGCTCATTGGAACTTTCTGGTTGGTGAAGATGGTATTGAATAAATGGACTTGCTGCCTGACACACATGGGAAGCCAATACTGTGGCACTAGCTTTTGAGAAAAGAAAGGCTTTATTGCAAGACCAGCCAGCAAGGAGACAGGAGATGCAGTTCATATCTATCTGACTGATTTGGGATCTGGGGCAAGTTCTAAGGGTTGGGAGGGCAAGAGAAAGGATTTAGGAATGTTGACTTGGCAGAGTCTGATGGGAGAACTTCAAACAAACCATTTACAGTAAGGATTTTAGTCCCAGATCTTCTGGGCCAACAGATCCCTTTTGAAAGAGCTCCAGCATTCAGGTTCCAGTCATTTCCCAGTCTTTTGGTTCCCCAGAGACGAATCCTTGTACCAGGTGTTGTTAAAGGTCAAACCTTTTTCTATTGCGCATGCCTGGCCTATGTGACTTGAAGTTTTCACTCTGTTATGCCTACAAGGTGACTTGGCGTCCTGTTATCAACAGAATAGGCCTACTTTGGGCTGGTGCTATGGTCACAAACACAGTAATGTGCTGGGAGGAAGAAGCACCTGGATTCCATGGAGAGGGCTTGGGTGCTCTGTCCTCCCCACCCCATCCTATGCATCTTTATTTGGCTGTTCCTCATCAGTATCCTTTGTAACAAAACTGTAATTATAAGCACAGAGCTTTCCTGATTTCTGTGAGTCACTCTAGTGAACTGTTGACACTGAGTTGGGGACTGTGGGAACCCCTGAATTTGTAGCCAAGTCAGGTAGAAGTGCAAGTGGCCTGGGACCCCCAAAGTGTACCTGTCATCTGAAATGGGTACAGTCTTATTGGGGCTGTGCCCTTTAATTTGGGGGCTCTGCACTAACTTTAAGATAGTATCAGAATTGAACTAATTGTGGAACACCCAGCTGGTGTCAGAGCATTAGTGCCAGAATGTAAGGGCATATAACAAGGGGGCTGTCCAGATGGAGGGATCAGGGAAGGCTTGAGGAGTGGCATTTAGGCTGAGACCCACTGATGAGCTTGAGAGGCTGGGGAATACATCTCTCTTCCATCCCCTTCACGCCTCTTCATTCCTGGTCTTGCACTTGGAATTCCCCTTGCCTCAGTCTACCTAACTTCTACCCATCCCTCCAGATCCAGCTTAAACCCACATCCCTCAGCCTTCCCAGCTGAGGTTGAGCCCCAGGGTTCCCATCCTCACTTCCGCTACCACGCCTTTTTTGTCTGTTTCACCCACTTTGTAACCCATGGATTGTTGTTATTTTGCTGTATCAGTTTCGTCCAAAAAGCAAGCATCTTGGATTCAAAGTCCATGACTTCCACACAGTAATAATGAAGTTACAGTCACACACAAAGCTAGCAGCTACCATGTGGCTTAACTTGCAGCAGGTCCTATCCTACACCCTTCGCGTGGGTTGCCTCCTCTAACCCCTGCAATAGATTTATGAGGTGGACATTACTATTCCAATTTCAGAGGTAAGGAAACTGAGGCCAGGAGAGGCTAAATAACACACTTCCATAGCTAGGGGAGAGAAAAGCTTCAATACTAGGGGCCTGTTCATATTGTTTATGAGATGAGGAGCTCTGCAGTTGTAAGCAGAGCTAACCCCTCTTTTTATCATTTTTGCAGCACTTTTCTGGATGAACAAAGTTGCATGAAGGCAGTCCATGAAAATCTAAAACTTTTCTTTCCAGGTAACAGGTAACAAGAAAAGGAGCTGTGAAATGTCAGCCCTTCTTCTGAGGGCCTTTGCGCAGGTGCAAGTCAGCATGCACTGCACCCAGGGACAGGGGTGAGGCACCTACACCCAGGTGCTAATGCCTTTCTTCATTGGCCACTCCTCATTCAACAACTGTGCATGAAGTTCCTTCTGGATGCTAGGGACAGGAGGCCCGAGCTGAATACAACACAGTCTCTGCTGTTAAGGAGCTAGCAGTCCTTAGAGAGAATGATGAGTAATGAGAGATTACAAATCCAGTAACAATCCCTTCAGGACAGCATGATGCCCATGCAGTGCCTTTGTGCAAATCAGGAAAAGGCACCCCCTCTGAGTGGACCCAGAGCTTGACAAGCAGGACTCTCGGAGTGAAGAGGTGTCTCCCAACCCCTGCCCCCAGGGGAGCACAGGGCTGACTGTCAGCTTCCTCAGCCCCCTTAGTCCCCACCTGCAGAGCACTGGTTTGGCAGAAGTGAGGGAGGTACCCGCACCCCAACCTAGATTGGCCAAGATGGTCTGAGAGGGATAGGAGAGTGAGGAAGTTAAGAATGGAGCCCTGGAATCGGAGTCAGACTCAGGCTCAAATCCTTCCACCTACATGATCTCAAGCAAGCAAATTTACCACTGAGCTCAATTTCTTCATTTAAAAATGAAAGAGTTGAAGAAGGTGATGAGGTTGATGCTACCCAACTCATGGGTTATTCTGAAGATTAAATGAGAAAATGTGTGTATAGTTCTCACCACAGAGTATGCTCTTAATAAACATTAGTTGTTTTTAAAGAGCTGAGACCTGAAGGATCAATAACACAGGAAGCATGCATGGGGAGAGAATGGGGCTCGAGTGCAAAGGGAATCTGAGCTGCTAAGGTGGGTCCCCTTCCTGGCCCTGCCATTAGCCACAGCTTTCCCTGACCAACTTCTGCAAGTTCCTCCGGTGTACCCCAGGCCCTTCCAGTGTTACAATAGGTAGCTAGCCAGGCATGAGCAAGGCAGGAGAGGGCTCCCCAACACCCGCCCACCAGAAATGTCAGGGGACCATCAGGTGATGGCTTGGCAGTTGCCACACTGCCTCTCTAAAAATGAGAGCTGACAGACAGCACCAGGGAAAGGCAATTTCCTGATGGCCCACAGCTGTCACACTAAGGTGATAATTGGTTGCAGGCACCAGGGAAAGGCAATTTCCCAGTATATAAAAACACTTGAGACTGGGAATCAGACGCCTCCAATAAAATCTCATGAATCCAGCGAGTGAGCTAGGACATGTGCATTAAGAGACGTGATCTTCAGGGGCATTCCTCCGGATAGGTAAGAAAGTCTCAGATGAGCATGTGTACAACTCTAGTCAACACACTGGGCATGCTCACCTCCCAAGCATAAAGAGGGCACCGCGTGCAGGCAGCCCACGCTAAAAGAAAAGTGAAGGGAAAGGGTCGCAAGATGCCGGAAAGGGGCTAGCATATATAGTCCCAGGATTAAGGTTAAATGGGGCACTTGACTTCCAAGTCGCCCGCTTGGGTCTCTTCCAAGTGTACTTTTCTTTCTTTCCTGCTCTAAAGCTTTTAAATAAACTTCCACTCTGCTCTGAAACTTGCTTTGGTCTCTTTTTTCTGCGTTACGCCCCTCAGTGAAATTCTTTTTTCTCAGGAGGCGAGAGTTGAGGCTGCTGCAGACCCATATGGATTCTCCACAAGTAACTTGGATATTCGCCACCCCAACACCAGGAAGGGACCTGCTATCTTGCCTTCCAAGGATTTCTGCAAGGCTGATCCATCTTCCTCCCAATTCCAGGCATAAAGATGTTCCATGCATTCTTAAGCTCTGCAATACCTGAGGATTGAACTCAGCCAGCCCCATTGTGAGAGGCCAGGGGAGCAGAGCCTGGGAGCAGCTGGGCAGAGACAGCTCACTTCTACTTCTTCCTCTTGGCCACCAGTCTCCTACTTTAGTGCAGTAAGAACTCCTTCCAGGCTCCTTCCACTGCATTTTTCTGAATTAAAATTCAGAAAAACACTCTGATACATCTGCTGAGTGTGTGTGCTTTGTGTGTGTGTCTCTGTGTGCGCATCTGTGACTACGTGTTTCTAGGAGTGTACTTGCATGTGCCTATCTTGTGTATATCTGTGTGTGTGTACATCTGTGTCAGTGTTTGTGCATATCTGTGTGTCTTAGTATGTGTGTCTGAGTGTGTCTCTGTGTGTGTACATAGAAAGTACAGGGTCAGAAATGAGGCAGGAGTCACTTATTTAAACACATATTTTTCTCCATCGATCCCAGGGTTAGTGCCTGGAGAGAGAGCACAGAGTGCACAGGGTTTGCAGGGAGGAAGCGGGTGACTGAGTGGACCTGCAGCCCAGGGGCTCCTTGGCCCTTCAGATCAGGGTCTTCCTGTTCCTTGTTTCTCCTTCCACCTACATTGTCACGGAAACAGAAACCCAAGCAGTGTATGCCTTTCAGATCAAGGGAATGTGGGTTTGGAAATACTTATGGAACTGTTGGTTAAAAACTCAGTTTCATTGTAATACAACAATCCATAAATTCCCAGTGAAGAAAAATCTGCTCTATTATGATTTACGAAGCCACCTGGCCCCCACATCCACAACCAGCCCTGTAGCAGGCTTCTGCTGGGATTCTGCTGTGACCATCTTTTCCCTTTATGAAACGCAGTGGGCTGACTAGTTTTCTGGGAGTAAATATATAGGCCATGTATCAACCCTACAGTTCACTTAAAACACCTGAGAGCCAATTCACCTTCCTGCAGACTTGCAGATTCCTTGAGTACGTATTACACGATCAGGCCCCGTGCTAGATTCAGGAGAACAGCCATGAACCCAAACAGATACAGAACTGATATAATCACATTTAGGTCCAACAGGTAAGCTGACAAGGGACAAAACAATAGAGATATAATTTCACATGTGGTCAACACCATGAGGGAAAACAGTCTACTCTGAGGAAGAGGAAAGAGGACCTGCCTGACCCTGTGCTGACAGGGAAGATGATATCATCTGGACGTGTGACCCCATCCAAATCTCATTGTGTCCGGAGATGTGTCCAGAGTTGGTTCCTTCTGGTGGGTTCGTGGTCTCGCTGACTTCAAGAATGAAGCCCCGGACCTTCACTGTGAGTGTTACAGCTCTTAAGTTGGCGCAGACCCAAAGAGTGAGCAGCAGCAGGATTTACTGTGAAGAGTGAAAGCACAAAGTTTCCACAGCGTGGAAAGGTACCTGAGCGGGTTGCCCTTGGGGGCTGGGGGTGACCAGCTTTTATTCCCTTATTTGTCCCCGCCCATGTCCTGCTGATTGGTCCATTTTACAAACCTCTAGCTAGCCACAGAGCACTGATTGGTGTGTCTAGCTACAGAGTGCTGACTGGTGCATTCTACAATCCTCTTGTAAGACAAAAAGTTCTCCAAGTCCCCACCCAACCCCGAAGTCCAGCTGGCTTCACCTCTCATGTTGAAATGTAATCTCCAATGTTGGAGGTGGGGCCTGGTGGGAGGTGACTGGATCATGGGGGCAGTTTCTCACGAATGGTTTAGCACCATCCTCTTGGTGCTGTCCCCGCAGTAGAGGGTGAGTTCTTGTGAGATCTGGTCATTTGAAAGTGGGTGGCACTGCCCCCTCACTCTCTTGCTCCTGCTTTCATCATGTGACATGCCTGCTCCCCCTTTGCCTTCCACCAGAAGTAAAAGCTCCCGGAGGCCTCCCCAGAAGCAGATGCTGCCATGCTTCCTGTACAGCCTGCAGAACTGTAGGCCAATTAAACCTCTCTTCCAAGTATAAAATACTTCTTTATAGCAATGAAAGAACTAACTAATACAGAAGACTTCTCTGAAGATGTGAAGGATGAGGAGTCAGGGAGGCCCCATGATGCAGCGAGGGGAAGGGACAGTTTAAGCAGAGGAAATGTTTCGTGCCAAGTCCCTGAGGTAGAACAGAGCTTGGCGTCTCTGAAGAACTAAGAGGTCAGAGGAGTTGGAGAAAGAAGGAAGGAAGTGATGTTGGAGAAGCCAGTAGCAGCCCAGTGAGGCTGGACAAGGCTGGCCAGGTAGAGGAGTTTGGATTTCACTGCAAATACAGTGGGAAGTGATTATAGGATTTTCAGCAGGAGAATGACCTGATTCAGTTTTGGGTTTAGAAGATAACTGTAGGTACTGCTTGGAGAATGGCTTGAAGAAGAGCAAGAGAGGAAAGCTTGGTGAGGCAGTCGCTAATTGTCCAGAAAAGAGATGGCAGTGACCGGAAGAGGAAGTGGCAGGTGGCAGTGGGGATGGAGAAGTACATGGACGTGAGATTTGATTTGGAGGTAGAATCCACAGGATATCCTGATGGCACGGATGGAAGGGAGAAAGAGGAGAGAGTTTGAAGAAGGGTTCCCAAGGTTCTGGATGGAGAAAATTGGTAGATAAAGGTGCTGTTTGCCAAGATGGATCACTAGGGAGGAGTGGGTCTAGAGAAGGAAAGAAAAGAAGAGATAAGCTATTTTGGACGTGCTAAGCCAGATGACATGGAATCAAGGGAAGGATGTGTTAAGCCAGATGGCATGGAATCAAGGGTGGTGGTGGTAGTAAACATGTCATCCGATAGATGAAGAGGTTGATGAGAATGAGAGAGGAAGCAGCAAAGGGAGTGAAATTCTTTTGAGACTGAGGAGGGATGGATCAGGAGCTCCCTGTAGAGGGATTATGGCAGAGAAATCCTAGCCCAGGAAGAATGAGGGAGCAGATGAGAATAGATGAATGTAGGTCCATGGGTTTGGTAGCAGGAGCTCCCACCTGAGGGCCTCTATCTTTGCAACGGAGTATGAAGCAAGGTCATCCACTGAGAATAAATGTGGAAAGATGGAGGTTTGGAAAACATGAAGAAAATAAGAATCCTTTTTGGAGAGTGGAAAAGTCAGTCTACTAGAAAAAAAGTAAGATTGTAGGCCAGTGCTGAGTATTCATTTGTGTTAATTATGAATTTATAATGACTCCAGTCTTTCTTGTATTCTGCAGCAATATTCCACTGAATTAAAGGAACTGGGTGAGTTAATTCATAGGGAATGCTTAGAACTGTGTCTGGCTCCTAGCGATCATTTAACCTGTATTAGCTGTTCTTATTATCCTAACAGTAGCATCAGCAATAATAGTAGTAGTTACACATTAGTTCAGGCAGCAGAAGGCAGATGGTTGGAACCCAAGTTTGTGTGCTGAAGAGAGGGGCAAGAAAGTTGAGAATGCTTGCAAGAAAGCAATGATAATGATGACCATGGAAGAGAATGTAAGAGGATTAATGGTAGAGAGAAATGAGTGAGATCAATGAATTGAAAGAACCTAATAAGTCAAAACATTTTGCACATGGAAAATCTGATCTTAAAATTTATAAGGAATTTCAAGAGACCCTAAATAACCAAAGCAATCTCAGGGGATAAAAACAGTCAAGGGGGATGTCTTGGACTTCCTGATTGCCTACTACACATCTACAGTAGGCAAAACAATGAGGTACTGGCCTAAAGACAGACATACAAACCAATGGATTAGAATAGAGTGCCCCAAAATAAACGCTTGCACACACAGCAAAATGATTTGCAAGGGTACCAAATCATTCAATGGAAAGAGGGCAGACTTTTTACCAAATAATGCCGAGAAAACTGGATATTCATATGCCGAAGAATAAATTTGAACCCTTTCCTTACATGATATACAAAAATTAACTCAAAATGGATCAGAAACATAAACATTAAAGCTAAAACTAATAAAAATCTACAGGAAAACATAAAAGCTTCACAACACTGGCTTTGGCAATGATTTCTTGGGTATGACGACAAAAGTGCAAGTGACAGAAGGAAAAATAGATCACTTGGACTTAAACGAGATTAAAAACTGTTGTGCATCAAAGGACACGGTGAAAGGGCAACCCATGGAATGGGAGAAAAAACTGCCAACCAAAAATACATAGAGCACTCCCACAATGCAACACAAAAAAACAAGCCACCCAATTCAAAAATGGGCAAAGGACTTGCATAGACATTTCTCCAAAGAAGACATCTCTCCAAAGACACACAAACGGTCAATAAACACATGAAAAGAAGCTTGGCTTCACTATCATTAGGGAAATGCAAATCAAAATGCAAGTCAAATCCATAATACACTATCACTTTATACCCATTAGGGTGGCTATTATTTAAACACAAACAAACAAAATGGAAAATAGCAAGTGCTGGCGAGGATGTGGAGAAATTGGATCCCTTGCAGATTACTAGTGGGAATGTAAAATGGTGCAGTTGCTGAGAAAAACAGTTTGGCAGTTCCTCAAAAGTTAAACAGAGTTACCATGTGATCCAGCAATTCCACTTCTGGGTATACACCCAAAATAATTGAAAGGAGGGGCTCAAATACATACTTTGTTCCTAGCAGCATTATTCACAACAGCTGAAAAGTGGAAACCCAAGTATTCATCAGTGGAGGAGTAGCTAAACAAAATGTAATATATTCACACAATGGAATATGATTCAGCCTTAAAGAGGAAGGAAATCCTGTCACATGCCACAACATGAGGGAAACCTGAAAATGTTATGCTAAACAAGCCAGTCCCCAGAGAGACAAATACCGTGTGATTCCACTCGTATGAGGTACCCAGAGGAGTCAGACTCTCAGAGACAGAAAATAGTAGGGGGATTGCCAGGAGCTGGGGGAGAAGAATTGGGGGTTAGCGTTTAAGGGGTGCAGTTTTGGTTTGGGAAGATAGAAAAGTTCTGGAGATGGATGGTGGCAATTGTCGCACAACATTATAAATGTACTTAATTGCCACTGGACTGTACACTTAAAAATGGTTTAAATAATTTTATCTATATTTTACCATAATTATATATACACATGTATATATGTGTATATATAGTGTGTATATATACAGACATATATACACTTGTATATATACAAGTGTATATATATACACAAATATGTACATATACACTATATATATACACACTATATATACACATATGTATATACACACACATGCACACAAACACATACACATATGCTTTTGATTGCAGTTAGAATCAGTAGGACACTGAGCTAGAAAGAGCAAGAGGTTGCAGCCAAAGAGTGGCAGGTTTGATTTTATTCTTTTATAGGTTGCAGTTTCATATCATCAGAGTCCAGCTTGTGGCTGTGGGAGTGCGTGTCTGAGGCCAGCAGAAGGCAGTGTGTTTGGAGGGCTAGAGCACGAGGTGCTAAGGCTGCACCGTCAGCATGCCTGCAAGTGAGGGGGCACTGTGAGGAGCTATGAGGCCCTGGATGATGGAATGGAGGTTGGCGGAGCTGGAGCCTCAGAGATACTGGTGCTTGTGCGGGAGAGAGCTTTTGATCTGCAAGTGGTAATGTGCAAATCTTGGAGGACACGGAAAATTAGCAGCCTCCCCTGGAAGCAGTGAAAGGAAAGTGGAGTCCCTGGAGAGAGCCGGGCTCTGCCAGGGTGAGGAGGTGATGTGGGGCAGCAGAGCACTCAGAGGCCCCAGAGAGGCTGTTCCCGCCATCCAGGTGGGACATCTCCAAGGAGTCCACATTTGTCGGGAGCCTGGGCTCCCTCTCCTTGGCTCTGCTGATTTTCAATTTCATGCACTGCTTGCTGGGATGAAAATTTATGCCAAAGATCTGCTTCATGACTACTACTGAACACATTTCACAACAAGCGATCAAGAAGCAAACACAAAAGCAACCTCAGCAGAGCCATCATCAATTCAAGATCAACACAGCCCGGCCTTGGAGCCCAGGACCCCGGGGACAGGCCCTAACAATGCTTCTCCTCCTGGTCCAGAAGGTGTTAGAGAAGTCACTCCTGAAACCCACAGAGTGTAGCCGGGAAGTCAAGGGTAAGTCAGGACTGAAGAAACCCCTCTGCCCAGGCATGCATTAAATTAAATTGGGCGGAGCAGCAGGTCCTGTCTCTGCCAAACTCTGTCCACACGGGCTCTTGTTTTACTGGTGAACCCACATGCTGCACCCCTTGATTCATCATAATTAATCCATCCATATGAATAATTAAGGCTCAGTTGAGACCTATCTCTGAGAAATCCTATAGTCATGTGGCTTGTTCATGCAGTGTGAGGAAGGAACCAGTAATTTTTGGACAAAGGTAGGTACAGTGGAAAATGCACACCCTTGTAGCCGATCCCACCAAGAGCTGGTTGAGGCAGCAGCATCTGCCACCTACTTGTTTGCTCAATAACACAATTCCACCTCTTTATCATTCACAGGCCAGTCCTGGGCTATGTGGGGCTTCTGGCTTCCTGGATCCCAATTGCTGCAAAATCATCTAAATTCCACTCTTTTCAAGAAAAGCAAAGTTTGAGAGGGCTTTAATAAGGAGGAGGTGGACACTCAAAGTCCTTGGACAGAAGACCTATTATGAGCCAGCCAATATGGCACTTCACACTCATTGTTCTTTACAATGCACTTTTTCTTTGACAGGGGCTCACACTGTCACCCAGGTTGAAGTGCAGTGTGCAGTGGTGCAATCATAGCTCTGCATCCTTGACCTCCTGTGCTCAAGTAATCCTCCAGCCTCCTGAGTAGCTAGGAGTACACATGTGTATCACTGCCTTTGGATACTTTTTAAAAATGTTTTGTAGAGATGGGGGTCCCGCTATGTTGCCCAGGTTGGTCTCAAACCCCTGGCCTCAAGCCATCCCCCAGCCCTGGCATCCCAAAATGCTGGGATTGCAGGCCTGAGCCACTGTGCCCAGCCTAACTCACTCTTCTTGAGCAATGTAGGGAAGCAGGTAGTAAACTGAAGTGCCACATGCTTGGGCCAGATTCCTTCTTGCCTCAGGGCCTTTGCACATGCTGTTCTCTCTCTGGCTGCTCTTCCCTACATCCCACCCCCCTCACTTACCCTCTTTCCACATTTCAGCACTCAGTTAAGTCACTCACGAAAGCCCCCTCAGACCCGCAGCCACATTGTTTTTCCATAGACATGCACTTACCTGGTCACAATCCCTGTTGTAACTTACCACTGCATTGCATGTCATTCCAGCTAAAACGTAAACCCCCTCAGCGTCAGGACCCTCGTCTGCCTTGTCTATAACCCCAGACCCCACGCAGAGTATCTGTCCTACACCTATTTGTGAGACCAGTGACTGAATGCAGGCAGGCAGGAAGGAGGATTTAAACCCACGTGTCTCAGACTTAAAGCCCAAATCCTTTTAATCACACCAAATTCCAGCGGAAGGAAGACCGTGAAGGAGGATGGACTTTGAGGTCACGATCACAGCTATCCGGCAGCTTTACAGAAACTCAAGTCTCTGCACTTTCCTGAAAACTCCCAAAAGCTTCGAGCAGGAGATGGCGTGGTAGGCTGGGGGCTTCCCTCACATGCTTGGCCTTCCATCAAGTCCATTCATAGAGGAAACTGGTTTCTAACAAGTCCACTTAGTCCTGAAGCTAAGCTTGTCATTTCATCACAGCTTTGCTAAGACAATTCAGGGTCCATACTCAACATTTTCAGGGTCAACTTCTGGGTAGGACCAGGCATTTATTGTGACACTGAATCTCCAACCCTTCCTCTGCCCACAGGCTGAGTGCTGCAATCCAACCATCAGAGCCTGCTCTCTTGGTTTGAGATTTTGACCCCTAATAATGTTTTTAATACCCAGGGAAGAGACAACTCCTTGTACTATAATCAGGCGTTTGTACCTCCAGGTCAACAAACAGTGCGACAGCAGATTCACTGAGTTAAAGGCAGCAAGGAGGCTGGGCCGTGAAGTCATTCTGTGTGTGAGTGCCTATGTCTGGGGGGCAAGGGGGCCAGGCAGCATCTCAGCTCCTCCAAGAGGGACAGCAGGGCCAACGTCCACTAGGGAGGCTGAAATTCTACAGCATGCCCCAGGGCCTTTGTTCCACAAGTGTAAACAGCGATGCACAAAGCTGGTTACATTCAAAACAAACTCTGATCTTCACCTGCTTTCTTCACCCTGTTTTTCTCTGTCCCAGTCCTAGGGCACATTCTTCAGATCCGTGCTGAGTGTTTTCATCCTAATTAGCCATGAAGAGATGAGAAAGGTCTTACCAAGCAATGACCCGTCCAGCTCATAGCACCACCAGAGAGCACAGGATGCCCACGGGAGGGCAGGGTCTGCTCCAACCTCAGAAACGCACAGGCCCTGGCTTTCCTTCTGAACCCAGTCGTAGACACGCAAGCTGTGAATCATACAAACTCCTCTTACACTCACTTAGAAATATAAATTTGTATTTATTAAAATGAACAGCTTGCTTCCTATGTAAGGAAACAAATACAAGTTTTTCTAGATCAATCTCTAATATGGATTGTTCCAAAAATAGATCTCCAGTAACAGTCTATCTTTGGTGGGCCACATATCCTAGACACTGTGCTAACAGATTTATATCCTTTATTTCATTTAATTCCCATATTGACCCAGACAAGTAGTTATTCTGTCTTCAGTTGAGTAAACTGAGGCTCAGAGAGGTCATGTGACTGGCTCAGAATTACATGGCTGTTCAGTGGTGTAGCCAAGTTTGAACTTGGGTCAGTTTGACTCCAAAGACTGTACAGTGACTGTGCTCTAGTGCTGCCTTTGTGACTTATCACAGCAGCTCTGACATTTATTAATGCATAACTATAAGCCAGGCACGGTGGCTCACACCTGTAATCCCAGCACTTTGGGAGGGCGAGGTGGGTGATCACCTGAGGTTAGGAGTTCAAGACCAGCCCGGCCAACATGGTGAAACCCCATCTCTACTAAAAATACAAAAAATTAGCCAGGTGCAGTGGCTCACGCCTATAATCCCAGAACTTTGGGAGGCCGAGGCAGGCGAATCACCTGAGGTTAGGAGTTCAAGACCAGCCTGGCCAACATGGGGAAACCCCGTCTGTACTAAAAGCATAAAAAATTAGCTGGGCGTGGTGGCGGGCACCTGTAATCCCAGCTACTCAGGAGGCTGAGGCAGAATTGCTTGAACCCAGGATGCAGCAGTTTCAGTGAGCCAAGATCGTGCCACTGCATTCCAGCCTGGGTGGCAAGAGCGAAACTTTGTCTCAAAAAATCATAATAAAAATGAATAAACAAACACGTAACTAAGAGAATTACAACAAAATTACTTCACTATCGAAGTATAGTCACAATTACTAATAGCAAGCAAGTAACAACAGAATGGCACTTGGACCTATCTGGATGAGATAATCAGGGAAGGGAGTGAATGCAGTCAATCGCGGTTGCCAAGAGCAGGCTTGACCACTTTGTGTATGAGAAGGAAAACAGCCAGGCTTGCTAAAGAATCCGGGGTATTCCCGCCAACCTACCAAGGCAACCATAAGCTAGGCCCTGCTCAATGTCAGTTTTTCAAATTGATTATCAAGAAGATAATAAAGTCAATGAAGAAATCTAGTCAAGCCTGTTAGATGTGCATGGTGGCATGTACCTGTTAGTCCCAGCTACTCAGAAGACTGAGGTGGGAGGATCGCTTGAGCCAAGGAGGTTGAGGCTGCAGTGAGCTGTGATGGCACCACTGTACTCCAGCCTGGGCCACAGAAAGACACTGTCTCTTAAAAAAAAATTGTGAAAACATAACTTTGTAGAGATGCTCCAGTCAATTCATCTCCAAAACTGGCTTCTAGCTCACTGTGATAGAGCCAGCCACACAGAATGGGTGGTGTGGGTTCTGAGATCTCTGTGTGTGTGTGTGTGTGTGTGTGTGTGTGTGTGTGTGTGTGTGTGTTACAGAAAGGGGGGGAGGGGGGGAGAGAGAGAGATAGATAGGGAGGTACAGGTTTGTAAACCCGACATATGAAGTAATGAATCCATCAGGAGCCCCACTCCTGGTGACGCAACATTGTGCTTGATGGATGACGGGGCAGTGGTTCTGGGGGCAATGGGCTTGGAGAGGGCACACACTCCAGCATGAAATATGGGAGTAGGATCCCTGACAGAAGAAAGGCCAGGCATCAGGGCTTCACACAGAACAAGGCTGGTCCAGGCCAGGCTCTACCCATCAGGTTCCTGGGTGCTCCAGCAAAGCCAGTCGGAAGCCCAGCCTCCGCATGAGCACAGGGCAGGGGCAGAACAGAGCCAGTGCCCCCCAGGCCAGGTCTGTGTGACTTCCAGAGACCCAGACCACAGCCCACCTGCTCAGTGGGGAAACTCCTGCCATCTGGCTGCTGCCCACTGGATGAGCTGGGATCTTCCAAATCTCAACTGCCACCTTGCTTTTGATGAGCCCAGAAACCAAACACCCTGCCCTCCACAGTCCCCAGGGGAGCCTGGCAGGGCTGTCCCTTATCCTTGGGTGCTGGCCCAAATGTGTTCCTTGAACAAATAAGCCAGACCCAGAGAATCTGTCATGTACACTTCCTCATTCTTCTTTCTGGTGAGCGGGAGGAGAAATTCCAGTGAAGGAGAGGAGCAAATACCCTCTCACGGCCACCCTGGGACTACTGAAGATCAAGCTGGGAAAGAATGAAGGGGTCATTTCCAGAGAAAATTCAGACTCCCTGGGGTACCCTGGGTGCTTGGGAAAGGCGTTAGCCTGTTCCAGACACAATGACACACTCGCTCAACGCATGGTTGTTTCTCGCCTTCTGTGTGCAAGGCATCTTTTCAGGGTGGGAATGCTGGCACTGAGCAGGACACACCAGGGCTCTGATCTCATTTAATAAGATCCAAGCGCCCCTGAAGGAGTTCCTGGGACTTTAAGCTGCTCAGCTCTTGTCTGGATGCAAATCACATGCCAAAGGAGTTTAGCTTAGAGAAAGAAGTTTCCAGGCCACATAACTAACTCTCAAATCTGAGCAGGAAGTGCAGAGCAGTCTCGGATAAACAGGCTGTGGATCCTGCCCTTGCAACTAGGAGTGGATTTGAAACTCAAACTCTCCATGAGTTGATGCTATCTGCAGGCGAACCAGAGACTGAAATAGTCAGGGCCTCTTTGGACAGTGGTTAAAATCTTCCAATACCCCACCAGGTAGTTGGTCTTTGACGTACCTTCTCACTACCCTTGTTTTGCTGTAATTCCGTTTGTTTATTTTTCCTCCTTCTCTATCTGGCTCCACCTTCTCCTCTTCCTTCTTGATACTGTGTTTTTGTGGGATTTCTTCATGCTAGCTGATGTCTATTCAGGACTGAGACAGCATCTTATGTGTCTCTGTACACACAGTGCCTTGTGCAGTGCTTGGAATGCAGTAGGTGCTCAATAAAAGTCACTTCTTTCTCCTCCTCTTCCTGCCCGCTGTCAAGGGCTCTCCTTGGTTCCTCAGGCCTGCATGTGGGTGACAGCATCACATCACAGAAACACTCATGCCTCAGGGGTTGCACAGTCACTGTCACCTCTCTGCCCACACTCTCAGAGGACTAATTTCATGGATTTTATCATAGACTTTTCTCCCCAAAATAGCAAGCTCCTGGGCTGACTCAGTCAACTCCATTTATGAAATGAAAAATATAAATTAGATGGGAACAAGGGTCAAGAAGACTATTTTCAATGAGTCAAAATTTCTCTTCAGTCACCTGACTGTCCCAGCGTGATTCTGAAGGTCCTGGCTTGGATGCAGTCTGTTTCCACTGAAACACATTAGCAGCTGAAATCAGCAGAGATCAAACCTGTCCTGCTGGGTTGTGTGGAATGCCAGAGGGATACCTGGTCATTAAGCTCCGTTTGAGTGAAGGAAAGAGGACTGCTTTGGAAAATAAAAATTTATTTTTAAAGCCACAAAAGTGAGGCCATTCCACGTCCTGCATAGTCCTGCACCTGGTCCTCATGGCTGTCACCATCACGAGTGGTCTCTCTACAGAAGGCAAGACCTTCACTCTAAGGAAGCTCATATTCCAGAACTGAAACTGTTGTGATCAGCTGCTTCAAGGATCATTGCCACTTCTAGCACAGTCCCTTGCTTTATCAATAAACAAATTAGAGTGATAACCCAAAATACTTATGACAGAGAATTAAGATTAGGCCTTTGTGGGCCACCATAGATTGATCGCAGTAATGACCCCGATTTGTTCATGCTTCCCTGTATCCATGCCCTTGGGTAGTGTCTTACCACATGGACACTGGACTTGACTCACCTCAGCCAATGGGATAGTACAAATGTGATGCAGAGGCTTGAAAAGCACTTGTGCAAGGGCATTTGGCCTGACTGCTCTTGAACCATGAGTTGCCTTGTGAAAAAGCCTAGGCCAGCTAGATGGAGGCTGATTGACCACATGGAGCAGAAAGAAAAAAACCACCCAGCTGAGCACTCCCACCCTAGCTGTTCCTCAACAAGGCCAGCCAAGATCAGCCTACCCTGGCCCCAAAGAGCAGAACCACCCAGCTAATCCCAACCCATATTGCAGGCCCAAAGAACCAGCAGCTGAATAAACAGCTGTTTAGCCGTCCACTTTGGAGCTTGTCTCATACAGTAAAAGCTAACTGATATAAGGGCTAATTTCCTTCACATGATAATAGAAAGAACCCCTACAAATCAATCAGGATCTCTATTCTGCAAATATATTCTCATGCATAAGAAATTTTTGAATATTCAGGTGTATCCTTTGCTGCTTATTTTGCAATGGCAAAATATTTGAAATAATCTCACTTTCCATCAATAGAGACTTAACTGTATTCACACATGTTGCTGATGGAAATGCAAACTGTGGAAATTTGCAACATCTACCAAATTATCATCTACCCTTGGACCCAGAAATCCACTTTGGAAGAATTGCCCTATAAATATACCCACACATGTATTGTGAAAAGGTCATTCACTGAAGAATTGTTTGTATAATCAATAAAACATTGGAAACAGCCCACGTCTATCAACAGGGAACTGGTCAGGGCATGTCCACAATGAACCACTGTACAGAAGCCAACCAAGAATGAGGAAGCTCTTTAAGAACAGATAGGAAAGAGCCTTAAGATAGCTTAGGAAAAATAGCAAGGTATAGAGAAGTATACATAGAATGCTAACTTTTAAATTTGAAAACCACAGAGTGAGAATATATATTTTCCATGTATACTTATATTTGCATAAAAACTCTCAATGTATAAATAAGAAATTAATAAAAGTGGTTCCCTGGGTGGGGGTAGGGGTTCTGGGAAATGAGCAGATGATTGATAGGAGGGAGAAGGAGAATTTTTACTATACACCTTTTTATTCCAATCATGTCTTTGCTGCCCTCATCACTCCACTAAAATTGCTCTTGTGAAGGTTGACAGTGACTTCTGCTGTGTTCAAATCTGGCATTCTTTTCCCACCCTCATCGTAGGTATAATAACTATCTCTTATGCGCTGATCTTTGGCTGTTCCTTGAAACACTTTCTTCATTTGGCTTCCAAGACTCCTCATTCTCCTCACTTTTCTCATATTCCCTGGCACTTCTCACTCTCCTTTTATTATTTTACTTATTGATTCATAGGGGTTCTTTGAATAAGAAAGAGGAGGAGGAGTTCTTTGCACATGAAGGAAATTGGCCCTTGTATCAGTTAGCATTTGCTGCGTAACCCAAGCTCACATGTGCCTCACTCTGCTTTGCTGGCACCTCTTAATATTAGGGAGGCTCTAGGGCTCAGTCCTCAGAACTCCTTTCTATCTATACCTGCTCTCGTAGTGATCAAGTCCAGTCTCATGGCTTTACATATTTCCTCTTTTGTTATGATCCTCCAAAATCTCCACCTCCAGATCTGTTCTTTCTTCTTGGCCCCAGCATTTTGGGAGGCTGAGGCAGGAGGACTTCTTGAGGCCCAGGGTTCTAGACCAGCATGAACAACATAGCAAGACCCTGTCTTTATTAAAATTTTTAAAAAATTAGCCGGGTATTGTGGCACACACCTGTAGTCCCAGCTACTTGAAAGGCTAAAGTGGGAGGATCACCTGGGTCCAGGAGGTCAAGGCTGCAGTGAGCCATAATCACGCCATTGCACTCCAGCCTAGGCGACAGAATGAGACCCTAACATTAAAAACAATAATAAAATCATAATAAAATATTGCTATTTGTATGTTATATTCCAAAATTGACACTTGATTAGAATAAATGATATGTTCAAATTATTTTTGAATAGAAAGAATGGATCTTGAATCTTGGCTGTAAGACCTGTCTAAATGTACTGAAGTGTCTAAGGAAGAATGTGTTAGGGGAAGGGCAGTCAGCCACAGTAGCATTGCAGAAGCAAACTTGTTCATTGCCTATCAAGCACTACCTGGTGGAGAGGAATCTAGAACAAGCCAACCAACTTTTGAGTGTCTAATCCAGCAGTCAGCCATAATAGTTCCATCCAAGAGGACACAGAGCACGGAAATCTAAGTGCCCTGTCTTCCCACCATCAACACTCCTCCTGGAGAAATGTTTCCCTGGTGAGCTGGGACTCTAAGACTAGGAAGAGGGTCCTCCCTCCTAACCCACATCTGAACATTTCAGTCACACTATAGGCAAGGCCACTCTGACATAAGAGATGCTATGGCTTAGACTTCCATGGGTGAATTCACTCCTGTTGTCTCTTCATTCAACTCAGAGATTTCCAATAAACTCATTGCCTATGTCAAGTTTTCACTCGTCCACAGAGAGAAAGAAAAAGCATGGTATAGTCACTTTTTAAAATTGCTTATTGATTTTTTTTTTTGGTGTGAAAATGCCCTCTGAAAACTCCAAAGTCTTTACACAATAATATTTCCAGTGGCATTAATGTAATTAATTCCCTCTATTACATTTTCTGTATTAGCAGAGCCAGATTTAGATCACTATTTGACTTTCCCCACTTGTAGGGAGTAAATACTCTGGCAGGACATGATTTCGAAGTATTCTGATTTTGGGGTCAGTTATTTCTATTGTACATACATAAATGGGCAGCTATTTTGGTGTTTGGACATCTGCCTCAAGACTGTTTAATATGAGTGTGCCCACAGGAGAGAAATTTGCTCTCCAGGTTACGATCTGCAAGACCAAGAGCATCCCCTTGGCCTGTGGCAAATTCACCACCCTTGGCCACCTCCCCACCACCCCATCCTCACCTCCACCCCCAAAACAGGAGCGAATAACAGGAAGTGTAATGCTTTGCCCAGAATCCTAATAAAATTACTTATTTAAGATATGATGTACTGCACATCAACCAAGCCCTTTAGAAGCAAAACTTATCAAGTTTGAGCAGATCATCTATTTCCGAAGTGCTTCAGGTAGATAAGAGATAGACAGATGAAAATATAGATATAGCTTCAAGACACGTTATTATTGACCATGAATGCTAAATTATATAGGCTCCAGAGGAATTCTTTTAGCTATTGTCTGAGAAGTGTATGCTTACATTCAGTTGGCATTTACATGAAGAAATATTGGCAGGATATACCAGAAATTAATCAATTTTGGGGGGTAGAATAAGGACAGGAAGCAGAGTGATACTTTCTACAAAACCTTTCAAAGCTTTTTAATTTTTGGACCGCAGGAATGTATCACCCATTCAGATTTTAAAAAGCAACACTGATATCTGCACAGAGCCTTGTTCATGTTGGAAGGTCTTTTGCATGAAGCATACAGGCATGCCACGTTTGGTTTTGTGTTCCCGCAACAGATAAAATCAAATCTCTCCATCAATCAGGGGTCCACAGCGATTGGTGTGTGTCATCACCATGGTTTCTAGTTTCTGTATTTGATGCTTTGACATTATGGGGTCATGCTGACCTTGGACTGTCCTAGGAATTAGCCAGTTCCTAGAGATGATAAAGGACTCGTCTGCTAGTTTGCTTGACACATGCACACCAATCCATCCATGAGCCCACATCCAACCACCCTTACTGGCTTTCATACTCTGGGCCACCATCCATCTACCCTAATCACCCCAGGACCAGGTACAAGACAACTAGGGACAGCCCCTAGTCCGCGGAGCCTGCTGAAATTATCAAACTGACCAATCTTTGAAACTGCTTAGTCTGGCTCCCTATCTCCTCCGCACAGAAACCACAATAAAGACACTTGCTATGCCTTCCCCTGCTCCTTCTGCCTCCTGACCTACCCTGGTACTTCTCACATGGCTCCCCAGGGCATATGTGCCCCCTCGACTTGGGATCTGCCTGTATAGCAAACTATCTTTTCAATGGCAGCCACCTCCTCATCTGTTGGCCTTGACATGCTGAAAAATAATACAGTCTGCATTTTAAGTCCTTGGGCCTAGAGGAGAATATTGGTCTGCAGAAGGCACAGAGAACACAGGACAGAAATTTTAGTTGCAATAAAAAGGCTTGTAATTTGACAGAATGCTTCTAAAATGAAACCCAAGAATATGTTCTATCCCCAACAGGAGAAACTAGTGAAGGTTAGGACACATTGCTCAGGGCAGTTTGGCTGCCAACACCCCCAGGTATACTTCTATTAATAAATGTCACAGCCACGAGAACTGTATGCTTATGAAGGAGCCCACAGTCAGCTCCATTACCAGGTAGCTTATGCTCGTGTGCCTCCCCACAAGGGAAGTGCTGGGGAGTGTCAATTCTGCAGGAATCACCACAGGCGGGACTAGGCAATGTTTACACTGTGCATTTTTCACTTTAGGAAGGCCTCATACATGAAAATGAGCATTTGTAACAAAACAAAGAAGGAATGATTCCTCAGCCCATAAATAGTGCATGCTGAAAGCGCTTTTTAAATAGGAAAACTTAGGTGACTTACATGATTTGACGACAGGAATTTGTTTGAATTGCTCACCACTTCACAGGAGCCTAAGGTGATCAAGTGAAGTTAACGACAGCAGCCTTCACACAATTGTCAGTGACTAAGGGTAGTGTCCAAGCCCCTGCAGCCAAGGGTGTTAGTTGCCAGAGCAGCACGAAGAGCCTAAGTGAGTTAGGAAAGAAGCTGGTCCCTGTGTGTTGGGAATTGCTGGGTTCTTGGTCTGACTTCAAGAATGAAGCTGCAGACCCTTGCAGTGAGTATTACAGCTCTTAAGGTGGGGCATCTGGAGTCTGTCCCTTCTGATGTTCAGATCGGTTCGTGGTCTCGCTGGCTCAGGAGTGAAGCTGCAGACCTTCACAGTGAGTGTTACAGCTCTTAAGATGAAGCGTCTGGAGTCTGCCCCTTCTGATGTTCAAACGTGGTTGGAGTTTCTTCGTTCCAGTGGCTTCGTAGTCTCACTAGCTCAGGAGTGAAACTGCACACCTTCGCGGTGAGTGTTATAGCTCTTAAGACAGCGCGTCTGGAGTTGTTTGTTCCTCTCAGTGAGCTTGTGGTCTCGCTAGGCTCTGAAGTGAAGCTGCAGATCTTCACGGTGAGTGGTACAGCTCATAAAAGCAATGTGGACCCAAAAAGCGAGCAGCAACAAGATTTATTGCAAAAAACGAAAAGAACAAAGCTTCCACGGTGTGGAAAACAATCCCCGCGAGTTGTCAATGCTGGCTCGGGCAGCCTGCTTTTATTCTCTTATCTGGCCCCACCCACATCCTGCTGATTGGTAGAGCCAAGTGGTCTGTTTTGTCAGGGCGCTGATTGGTGCGTTTACAATCCCTGAGCTAGATACAAAGGTTCTCCATGTCCCCATCAGATTAGTTAGACACAGAGTTTCACCACACAAGTTCTCCAAGGCCCCACCAGAGCAGCTAGATATAGAGTGTTAATTGGTGCATTCACAAACCTTGAGCTAAACACAGGGTGCTGATTGGTGTGTTTACAAACCTTGAGCTAGATACAGAGTGCTGATTGGTGTATTTACAATCCCTGAGCTAGACATAAAGGTTCTTCATGTCCCCACCAGAGCAGCTAGATACAGAGTGTTGATTGGTGCACTCACAAACCTTGAGCTAAACACAGGGTGCTGATTGGTGTATTTACAATCCCTGAGCTAGACATAAAGGTTCTCCAAGGCCCCACCAGAGCAGCTAGATACAGAGTGTCGATTGGTGCACTCACAAACCTTGAGCTAGACACAGGGTGCTGATTGGTGTGTTTACAATCCCTGAGCTAGATATAAAGACTCTCCACATCCCCACCAGACTCAGGAGCCCAGCTGGCTTCACCTAGTGGATCCCACACTGGGGCTGCAGGTGGAGCTGCTTGCCAGTCCTGCGCGTGTGCTCACATTCCTCAGCCCTTGGGTGGTCGATGGGACTGGGCGCCGTGGAGCAGGGGGTGGTGCTCGTCGGGGAGGCTCGGGCGGCACAGGAGCCCATGGAGTGGGTGGGAGGCTCAGGCATGGCGGGCTGCAGGTCCCGAGCCCTGCCCTGCGGGAAGGCTGCTAAGGCTCGGTGAGAAATCGAGCACAGCACCGATGGGCTGGTACTAGTGGGGGACCCAGTACACCCTCCGCAGCCACTAGCCCGGGTGCTAAGTCCCTCATTGCCCGGGGCCAGCAGGGCTGGCCGGCTGCTCCCAGTGCGGGGCCCGCCAAGCCCAGGCCCACCCGGAACTCCAGCTGGCCAGCAAGCGCCACACGCAGCCCTGGTTCCCGCTCGTGCCTCTCCCTCCACACCTCCCTGCAAGCTGAGGGAGTGGGCTCCAGCCTTGGCCAGCCCAGAAAGGGGCTCCCACAGTGCAGCGGCGGGCCGAAGGGCTCCTCAAGTGCCGCCAAAGTGGGAGCCCAGGCAGAGGAGGCGCCGAGAGCGAGCGAGGGCTGTGAGGACTGCCAGCACGCTGTCACCTCTCACCTGGAGGAATGTGCGGGCAAGAGTGAAAATTCACACATGAACCTCAACTGCTCTGGTATCGATTTTCTGAAATGACAGTTTAGAGGCTGACAATTCACAATTCTTTCACTTGGTCAAGTTTCTAATATATTTTTGTTTATTTTTATTTATTTATTGTCAACACCTCAAAATTGGGATATTTCACAAAGAAGAGTCAGATTTCTAGCTTTTATTGAAAAACTAGGAGATCTGGCCATACTGGGCCCATACTTGCAGGCAAAACAACCAGCTAAACTGAGCAGTGGTAGCTGCTCCCTTGATGCAGCGTCTGAGTGCTCCTGTTTGCCATAGCTGCCACCACTCCATACTGCTTCCAACAGTGATGCTGAGTGCCAGTAAGCATATATCTTTGCACCTAAAGAAACATTTATTTGTACTTATGGCTCTTTCAAGTGTGGGAATATAAAAAATGAACTTATGAGACCTATGTTTTTCCAGAAAAAAAAAAAAGGAAGCCAGAGAATGCTCTGATGTGCTTAATAGGACAACAGATGTCCAAACATCTCACCCCTACTGGCAAGACCTCATTGCGCACGGACTAGTAACAGTAAAACTTCTTCAGTGAAGGCTGAGCAGGGGATGAGGTTGGGGAGCCAAATTTGAGTCTTGACAGAGGAACACAGCCTGAGCAAGGAGGTGGCCAAGGAAGCTGCATCACAGTGACCGAATGGCTGGGGAGAAGCACCTCTGTGAAACGGATGAGACGAATCCGTGAATCAATCCTTGAAAGTCAGATGGGCATTAATTGAACATGCTGATCACTTCTAATCTTAGCTACTAAGCAGGAAGCCTCATCCTTGCACAGAACTGAATTTGATGTGTCAAGAAAAGAAAGGCAACCGGTCAACCCCGGAGTGAGCCACCTACTAGCCTATTTGAAATTGAGATGCTTTAAACAACACAGCTGGAAGGCAGAGGGAAATGCAAAACCAAAGGAAAGTCCATGTGCTTTGCAGCTGGGTCATCAAAGAGAATTCCTGTGGCTGCCAAAAAGAAAAATGGAGGAAAAGAAAAAAGCCTAAGTCAACCCCCGTCTCCCTCCAAAATAAAACAAGCAGTGTGTCCATTTTTCAATCTGGGCAGACCACTTCCCTAGGGTAAGAACATAACACACTTTGTCACTCACGGAATGTGACAGGAAGAGGGGGAGGGACCAGGCCCCAGGAGTCAGTTTTAGTTTCCACCCTGTCCCAAGGCAGGGGACAGAAAGAACCACGCCTTTATACACAAACATCCTGGACAGATCAAAGTAGAGTCATAGATTTTATTTAATTAAAATAGATTAAAAACAGACTGTGTAAAAGAATTAGAATTCTCAATAATTTACTATTATTTACATTAGCAAATGTCGGTCGTTAGTAGACACTGAGCAGAGAAGCTTGAAGAACGGGGATCCTCTCCTGTGGGCAGGGGAGCCCCAGCTTCCCTCGTGATTCCCGTCCTTTCAAGTTCATTATGGCAGCTCTGTCAATGAGCACCCCAGGGTGGTGTGGCCGCAGCACCAGGACCCGCGCTGAAGGCCCAGAGACCTGGCAGGCCGGGAAGAAATTCCTTTCCTTTGGGAAGAACCACCAACGCTCAGTCCAAGCTCACACGGTTATCTAGTCGGCAATGCCTTCCCTGCCCTGCAGCCAATACCCCCCACTGTGCTGGGCCTTCTGCAAATACTCCTGGGGTTGACCCAAACCCAGTTTCCAGATAAAAGATAAAAAGAAAAAAAAAAAGGCCACATATCCCAGTTCTCAGAGAAATCCTGGATTACTAAACATCCCCTGCCTGTGGCACCTGGAATGGGTGACTTGTCAAAATCTCCCTCAAGACGTTTTGTGCGTTTGCCGTGGGAGGGAATGGTGGGGAGTCAGGGTGGCTGGGGGGCACTAGGCCACTTCACCAAGAGGGATGCACCTCCCAGGAAGCAGTAGCAGTGAGAGCGAGCCCCACAGGAACTGTCCCTGCCCTGGCAGTGCGCAGCCCTGTGGGCACCAAGCAGGGAGTGAAGACCCTCAGAACACAGGCCCTGTGGCCTCCGGCTGTGACCTCAGCTTGCTGGAGACTCTGCGGTCAGCCTGGCCCACTAGGAGCCCCTGCTGCTCCACTTGCAGGACACCCAGGCCTCCTGGCGTCAGTGGGGCCTGGGACGTCTGGGAGTTCCAGAGCTGGGGCAGCAGCTGTGACCATGGGGGCCAGCACAGTGGACAGCATCAGAGCTGGCAGTGAACAGCTGAGGCGGGGGAGGCCTGATAGAGAGGTTCAGTCCCAAATGTCTGTCTCGAAGGGGACCAGGTGGTAATATGACAGGTTGGTGACGTAGGCTGCTGGGTCGTCCCCGTCCTCCAGCTCTGAGGGAAACTCACTGCCATTCTCAAATCTGAAATTAGAGAAACCAGAGGTGAGGGGTGGCTCATTGTTGGGATCAACACCAAACACCCGCCGGGACCATGAGCATGACTTTCAATGCCCGCTAGTAAGTGTGCAAAAAAACCACGGCTACAAATGAACTGGTGAGCTGGCTCCTGCTCTGAGACTGCCAGAGCTTCTGGTTTCCACTGCCTTGGAGACTGCTGTCTGCATTTGCTTAGACAACCCTTAGCGAGGCCTTCATCCATTCCTTCATTCATGGAGTGCTGATTTTCACCTCTTGTTCTGTGCCCAGCACCGCGTCAGGCTGTGGGATCAGCAGTGAACAAGGCAGGCAGGGTCTGTCCTCAGGGAAGAGGCGCCTGCCTCGTGCTGGGCCCTGGGGACAGCTGAGAGAGGAGTGGTCACGAGCTCACAGCCTGACCGCAGCAGAGATGACACACGGACGCACAGGAGGCTGCGAGGGAACAGGAGGCTGGAGAAGAGCCGGCGAGGCCCGTGGAGGTCACGGGGGGAGACACCTTCTAGCGGGGAAGCCTGCATGTGGGTACGTGTTTCATTCGCGCTCTGGCAGATGAGAAGCATCCGAACATGGGGGACTTACATGGGGTGTGGAGAACTAGGGAAGAATACAAACCCCAAACATAAGGGGACGTAAAAGCCCGCGATACTGACTCCCCACACACTGGAACTGTTTCTACTCCCTCTGCAGCCCAGGCAGACTTCCTACGTTAAGAAAAGAGACTCCAGGTCTTTAAAAATGCGTAACAGAGAAAAGCACAAGAAGGACATTCTCCCCAGGAAGGGGGACAGAGCTGTACGGCTCGTGGGATTTTCCTCCACCTATGAATCAGCCCAAACCCAGCAGGCCGCGTGGGAGTGTGGACAGAGGCAAGCAGCTGCCCCGCCCTCCTGGGAGCCACCTCGGGGCTGCCTCCTGTGCCGCCCCCAGTGACTGAAGGTGGCCCTGGCCCGTGGACAACTGTGGGAACTCAGCCATCTCTGGAAAGCTTTGCCATGACCAAGATGACTGCACAGTCCAGGCCCCTGGCCGGACACACAACAAGGCAGGGCGAGCATATGTCCCCCACAAACCTAGTACATCGTGCGAATCCCGCTGACCTCAAGGGACAGGGCTGTGAAGACAGCTTTAAGGCATTTGGATAAGAAAGGCTGAGGCTGCAGAGGAAGGCCTCCCCTCTGACTCCATGGCCAGGCCTGGAGTGTGGTGTCAGCCCCCGCCTCGGCTTCCCTATGCTCACGGTCCTGGCAACACGAGGCTGGGACAGAGGCCGCGGCACAAAGAGCCCTAGCTGTGGGTGGGAAAGCTATGGGGGGCTCACGGAGACAGAGCAGCTCTCCAACTTCATCCAGGGAATGAAATCTCTTCCCCAGACCAGGGCTGGATGGAAACCCAAGGGGGAACCTTGGGCGTGCCGAAAGGTTCAAGCCAGTCGAGGGACAGAGCCACAGCGCCACCTCAAACAGTGTCCCACCACCTGCCCGTCCTCCCTGCCCAGATCACAGGATGACCCTGAGGACATGAGGAGGGAGGGGGACCGGGATGCTCAGGGAAAATGAGTCATGGGGCTAAGGCTCCCTGAGGTCCCCACAGAACCGCCCAGTGCCTCGGCCCTGGATGACCTCCCAGAAGCCAGGCAATCCCTTCGCCAGCTGAGACTGTCACCTGCAGAGCCCCAGAAGTCCCCACTGGCCCCATCTCTATCAGATACATCCATTCCCTGAGTGCAGGTGGGTCTCTGGGCCCTGGCACTGGTGCCCACTTGCCCCTGGGGCCAGACTCGGGGCAGCCTGCTGAGACTCTGCTGTGGGGGCCCTGCTGTGGGCCCGGCGGCACTGGGCTCACAGGCTCGGGCCAGACAATCAGCCTCGGGTGCCAGGGAGGACAGCCACGCAGGGAGGTGAAGCCTCCAGTTCCACAAAGGGTGTCTGTGCTCTTGGTCGCTGTCAACCCCCCACCCGACAGCCGGTGCCGTGTAGAAACAGATCGTCCCTGTGAGACACTGGAGCTGGACCATCGACTCCACTGCACTGCCCGAGATTGAGGAGCCAGAGAAAGGCCCGGCAAGCCCAAGTCGGAACTCCCTCCAGATGCTCCCGAGCCCCATGGCGGCAGGCGTTTCTTTGTTAGGCTTTTCTGGGGTCATGGAGATTTTCTCGGCCCTCTCTGTGAGCCAGGCATCCCGGAGCAGGTGGCCGCCTATTCAAGACCTGTCACTCCTGTGCACATGCAGTCAGTCCCGGGCAGCTGCAAGAGCCACACCTCTGGCCCGGCTTTCTTCCCTCCGTGTGTTTCTCCTCAGCTCCAGCCTGCTCACAGTTGAACCTGCCTCCTAAATCTGGCCTCATTCCAGGGTGCCAAGGGCCTCTTGGATATAGAAAGGGGTCCCCTTGCAAACACTGCAGACTCAGAGCCTGCACAACTGGTGATGAGGAAGGGTCTCCATCTGTCTTCTCCCCAAGACAGTGCCTGGCCAGTAACTACCCCTGCCAAGCTAAAGGGCCTCTTTCTTTCATCCATGACTACACTCCAGCCTTGTACCTCCACGGTGCCAGCCTGTTGGCATGGGGGACCCATAGGTAATGAGTGAATGAGCTATGTACAGTGGGGTCAGGGCAAGGGACACAAAAGGGCAAGGCAGGTCAGGAAAGCTGCGGCCTTGGCCCCACCGGCACAGCCTCTGCCACCAGCAGCTCATGACCCCTCTACTGGGAAGGATTCTCGCACCATCTACCCGGGAGACACACTGGTAAAGACGGGGTCTGTTAGCAGGAGCCAGTCCCACAAGCCTGACAGGGACCCCCCCATGCTCAGTCATGGAGCAGGGATTCAGCAGAGGAGGCCCAGGCCGCCGGCTGGGGCCCAGGTTCACGCTGGGGTCACAGCCCTGCCGCCCACAGGCCCGGATGTGGGCCTCGGCACATGTGGCCGGCTCTAGTTTCAATCTGCTGCTATGGAGGGCTAGCAAATGCGTGGGGCAAGACCCGGGCCATCCCCAGGCTATGTCATTCCTGGGCCCACAGGGAGACTCTGCATCCAGAGCTGCCTCTGTGGGACTCTCAAGCGGGATGTTTTACACTCACCATCTGTGGTCTTCAACACAACCCGTGGTGGGACAGCAGAATGGTCCCGTGAAGGTAAGAGAAGTCAGGAAAGGTTAAATAACTTTCTGAGCTCATACAGCCAAGGAGCAGTCTGGATTTGGCTGTGTCAGGAAACAGAGGCCAAGCTGTCTGGGGACCCTGGTGCCCCCAGAATTCACCAAGAAGATGCCTGGAGGAGAGCCAAGGCTGAAGATGCTGCCGACCCCAGTGCCGGGCTCTCTAGAGCATGTGTTACAGTCAAATCAGAGACAGAAAGAGCGGAGAAGACAGTGGTGGCTTTGGCTGTCCAGCCTCAGTAATCAGATACATCCTACACCTTCAGCACAGGGCCAGGCAGCCTTGAGGCAAACATGTCCCCATCTCAGGGAATCAGGACCATTGAGTGTGAGGCATGTGGCCCTCCTGGCCCTGGAGACAGCATCACACCCCTCAGGGCCCCACACGAACCAGGCCCCTAGCCCTGCAACGTCTCCTAAATGCCCCTCAGAGCCAGCAACTCCATCTTCCACAGATTCACTCATCAAGATCTCACCAGACTCTAGGAAAGGCAAACTTCTAAAATCAGTGTCCAAATGCAGGTAGGAACTGCTGGGTGGCTCTGGGCACCCACTTCCTTCCATAAGAACAGTGAGCCCCCATCCCACAAGGCAAATGGCTCAGGACAGTCTATGAAACGATATTCAAATCAGCATACTTACAAATGCTCTGTTGGGTCCACGCCCAGCTGCTGGTCTCTTCCATTTGGTATACTGTGGTCAATAACTATTGTTTCGGTATTTGCTAAACAAAATCCATTGGACCTCATGATTTCTGAAAACCAAAGCAACAAGGTGAGTCCTCAGGAGGGGTCGGAGCTTGAGGTTTTGGAGTTTGGAACTTACTCCCATCTCCCTGCTTTCTCCTCCACCTGTTGCCCGTGCCTCTCTTCCACACCGTAAGAGAATGCCGTGCACCCGAGACCCATTCAGAGCTCTGCCGCACAAAGTCAGGGAAGAGGTCAATCCCCGCAGGAGCCAGGCCTGCTGTGTGTCTCTCCCAAGACAAAGATGCTCTGCTGCCTGAGTACGCTCTCCATATGCCCTTCGCTGTGGGCTTCAAGCTGGAGTACAAAGAAGGAGTACTGGGCTCAAATCTGTGAGTCTGCGTGTGAGAGCAGAGCTATGGCACAGTGACATGTGGCTCTGCCCAGGGTACCTCTCCTTGCTGAGCTCTCACTGTGGCTGAGACATGAGTAACAATATTGACTGCCCTGGGTTGTTGTTCTGACTGAATGAAATCAGTGTGCATTTTATTCTTATTTCAATAGTTTTGGGGTTACAGGTGGGTCTTGGTTACACGGATAAGTTCTTTAGCGGTGATTTCTGAGATTTTGGTGGATCCATCACCCAAGCAGGGTACACTATACCCAGTAAGTAGTCTTTTATCCCTCACCCCACGAACCCAAAGTCCATGATATCATTCTTATGCCTTCGCATCCTCATAGCTTAGCTCCCACTTCTAAGTGAGAATATACAATATTGGTTGCCCATTCCTGAGTTACTTCTCAGTGTGCATTTTAAACCAAAGGGTGACTTTCACTGTTTCGCTTTATGTAATTCTGTATGTAAATGATTTTTTTCCCAAATAAGCACAGATTCGGGTAATTTAGAAAAGCCAGCAAAGAAAAACGACTTCCTACGTCCATACTGGCTGCATGGCATGAGCTAGAGGGTGGAAGTCTGCGCTCGTCCTTGGCTGGAGGGGCTGGAATGGAGGATGAGGAGCCAGGACAACGAGCTCCATGGCCTTGGGACTCAGTTTCCTCCAATGAAAAATTTCAAAGTTGTATTAATCTCTGAGGATCCTTCTCACTCTGAAATCCCATGAACTCCTGGATCGCATCATGCCATCTGGTCCATCTAGGTATAAAAAGCTGCAGCGTTCGTTTGTATTTTCTGAGGGACCGCGTTTCCGTCCCCTCGCTCAGCAGATGAGATCTGGTAGCCATGGCCAGTTCTTGGAGCTAAAGTCCTCCAGCTGCCCGTGAGCCTGCTCATCTCCTAACCACAGCTCTAAGACCAGGACCACCTTCATCTGTTCTTTCGACTCAGAACCTCTATGCACCCCATCATAAAAGTCATGCCTAAAATATACTCCAAATTCCTGGTGCCTTCTCAAATCCAAGGGATTATCTTCTTCCCATTCAGGACACAGCTCCTAACAGCCCTCCCTCTCCCCTGGCACACCACACCCAACAGGAACATCGCTCACTGCCCCATCGGATGCCTTAGTTGCTTGGGGGACTGTTTTCCTTTATTTTTTCTTACACCTTACCACAATTTAGCCTGGTTCATTCCCGTGTATGGATTTGCTTTCTTTGGTAACTGAAATAGTCACTTTCTGTTTAATCTTTCTACATATTTGGTTCTCAGTTCTTTGAACTGCTTTCCATACGAAGAGAATTAGGGAAATTACACAAAAATGAGGAAAGAGAAACAGATTTCCTCCTCGCCCCCCATAGGATCAAAATGTCGATTCATCAGTCAGATTCATCAGGTCATTGCTAAAATTCCACCTGCCTTTCTGGAGAAGGGCCACTGGTGTTTCCTGGGGACATCAGTCCTCAGCTCTTCCCTGCCCTCCTCCCTGTACCACCTGGTAGGGCTGCAGGTCCTGAGAAGGAGCTCTGCGAAGCAAAGAGGAATCAGTGCCCAAAGTCTGGGGTCAGCCACACTTCCAGGTGTAAAAGGGGCGAAAGAAGATGCTTACCAAAGCCTCGCTGAACAGGCGGACTGTGAAAACTGCCATATCCTAACAAGATAAACTAAGATTCCCTCGCCTCTCTATCTAAAATGGGTGGCAGCACAGAACCACTGCCTTTATTGTTTTTATTAACTCTGACCCAAATCTGTCTTTCTTGGGAAGCACATAAAACCTCAGAGCAACCTCCATACAGCCAGCTGACAGCCCCATCCCCCTTTCTCCCACCCCTTTTGCAAAGGGAACTTGGTTGGGTGGTGGCCTACAAGTTAAAACAAATGTCACTGCTGCAAATCACTTCTGAATAAAATTCTGAAGAGTTACTTTACATGCCTAATCTTTCTTAAATGTGAAATTTGGAGCTCTATAAAACGGAGTCATTACCAGTCCCCCAAAAAATAGATTTGTAAGCAATCCTTCCTTAATTGCCTGTGACAAGGAGCCTCATGCACATACATGTGGTTTAATTATTTGCAAGGCTGGCTGGGCCCTGAAGGACACTAAGGTATGTCTGGTGCCTCCTGCATGGACCTTGCTGTCTCAGGCCCGGCCCAGAGAGGGACTTCGCTTAGACTCTCACATTTCACTAAAGATGGTCCCTGAGAAGCTCCGGTTCCCTCCTGGATCCCACCTCTGCTGTCAGCCCCAGAACCTCGAAAAACCTAGGGGCAAGCCAGCAGGCTACACAGCTGGCAGGTGTGCAGCAACCTCTGGAACATTTATTCCCAACACGGGTTCAGAAAGGGATGGTTTATTGAAAAGCAAATTGTCTTAAAACCTAGGGAAGTGTGCACAGCTTTTATACGCCTGTGCCAGGTGAAAATGGAGCACAGATTCTCTAACAGTTTACATTTTTATTTACTTGGTCACTTTAACAAACAAGTCCTAAGAAAAGCTGTAGAAATTAGAACACGTCCACAGTTTAAAAAAAAAAAAAGAAGAAAAAACATTTAGCTGTAGCAAGCCTCTAATTGTAGGGACCACTGGTTTAAGGAGATCTTCTTGCTAAGCCTGTAGCCTGTGCCCCGTTTCAACCACGGACAGCAGATATTTACATGGGAGTTGACCTCCCAGGTCAGTTTTCACAAGACGATGGTATAGACCATGAACTTGTACCTTCAGGCAAAAGGCTGCATTGAGATTCATTGCTACGGGACCAGGGAGCCTGACTTGTAACAAAATCCACTGATAACTTGCCATGTGCCTTCGGCCAGAGCACTAGCAAGCATGGCGTGTCTCAGTGTGGAATGCTGGCTCCTCAGGAGGCACGAGCAGGTAGGAAAGCATGCAGACTGCAGCTGGGGAAGGCTCTGCTACTTATGCCTGGAGAGCAGGTTACTTCTTGCTCAGTTTCTTCATCTGTACAATGGAAATAAAGGTATCCATTCCAAAGGCCATTGTGCAGACTAACTTGAGATGATGTATGTAAAGAATCTAGCAAATACTGAGGGCTCAATAAAGAGTCCTGAGTGATCTATCATGATCATTCAGTGCCCTTTTATTAATTGCCTAACTGGGCTACCCCTATTTAGTAAAAATAAGGTTGACATTATACAGAAGCCAGATTAATGAAAAACAGTGTTCTATTTCCAGGCCCCCTAAACCTAAATAATCAGATTTTGTGGCTGAAATTGATGAGTCCAAACAGCCGTATCAAGGCTGAGGTCCGCATTTCCTCACAGCTATTATGATCATTGTTAGTAATGTCCTCAGATCTGTTATGATGTAAATAAAAAAGAACGGAAGAAAATGCTGTCATTCAAGAAAAATTATAGCATCTGAGCCTCTCTTCAAACATACAGTGTGAATGTCTTAGAAGTCAGCTTAGTATCTATAGCAAGAATCTTTGACCAATGTAGCCATTTTAATCACATACATGACTGATTCCATGAAATAGTTGACTTTCAAGCTATTTTTTTACACTCATATTTTTCCAAATGAAAGCAGCCCTGCTCTTCCATGGAAACTGACATTGGCACAATTCTGTTAACTAAATGAAAGACCTCCTTCACTTGAATTTCAACAGTCTTTCCACCAACGTTCCTCTTTTCCGTGGGGGCCCCAATCCAGGATCTCTTGCTGCAATGAGTTGCTCTGTCTTGGTCTTCTGCGACCTCTGACAGTTCCTCCATCGTTCCTTGTCCCTCATGACCGTAGCACTCTTAGAGAGGACTGAGCTATTTTAGCAAATGTCCCTCGATTTGGGTTTGTTGGCAGTTTCAGAGTGATTCGATTGAGGTGATGCATTTTTGGCAGGAACCCTACACAGTGACGCTGCATGAGACCTGGAGTGGCATATGGGGGTGGGGCTGAGGCTGACAGGTCCTGCTGCTGCTGAGGCTGCTGTGGAGTGCCTGGTGAGGAGGCTTCTGCCAGCTGTTTCCACAGCGAAGTTACCACCTTTCCCTTTGTAGTTAATTGAAGGAGGATGCCTTGCAGCTATGCAAATCCTGTTTCTCCTCAGTTTCACTCACAAATCTTTGCATCTATCAATCAATGGATCTTTTTTGCAACAATTACCAATGTGTCTGTTTGCCTGATGGCAATTTTTCTGTTTTTTAGATGCAGCTATGTTTTCATAGCCCCACAAACGTCACAACCCCTCACTTCAATAACTCTATTCCTTTTCTCAGCAGACACGCGGTCTCAGCCGTGAAAGCATTCATACTCTAGCCTTCCTCCCTTTCACCTCCTCTCTCCCACTGTATTTCCCATGTACTCCAGCAACGGAACAAAACCCAAAGCAGTGCCCTTGTATTAACTGGCTAGCTGGGCTACCCCTACATAGTGAAACTAAGGTTGAGATTGGCCAGAAGCCAGATTAATGAAAAATAAAATTGTGATTCATTTCCAGGCCTCTTAAACCTGAATGGTCAGATTTTGTGGCTGAGATTGATGAGTCCAAGTTGCCAGATCGAAGCTGAGGTTTGCATTTCCTTTTACATTGCACAGCTGCAGCCATGAGGCAGAACGCTCTAAATTCTTGCTTTCTTACATTTGATAAGCATTGGGACAAAGAATGATTAAGGCTGTACTGGTTGGAAGCACTGCCAAGGGATGCAGTCCATCCTGACTGTCCTCACCGTGGCCCCAGGATGTGGAAACAGTCGCCGCGCCTGCTAGCGCCGGGCGCCATCTAGTGGAGCTCCTGACAACTAAACGATCCTAGAAAAGCCAAGGTACTCAGCACCTGCAGGTCCCCATCCCCAGCCTACATCATGAGAGCAGAGACAGTCAGTGCCTGTTCCCCATGGCACCACCTCCCTACACGTATGTCAGTGGCATAAGAAATGGAGGAGGAGGGTGGATGTGGGCTCTCGGCCGGGAATGAATGGAATTAACCAGGACAGCAGTGGACAGGCAGGTTTGCACGAAGGACCCTGCAGGGCCACAGTCCATGCAACGGCTGGCCAGTCCCCTGCAGGAGGCTGAGGCTCTGGAGTGGAGGTGACAACATCAAAAGGCTAGCGTGGGCTAGGCTCTGAATGCCCAGAATGACCAAGAACTTGGGCTTGATGGTGAGAGTGAGCTTTTAAGACAGTTAATAAGCCTCAGAGGTCAGAGCTTTGGGATGACTGGCTCAGTCCTCGGGTTCATATCCTGGAGAAAGGGGGACGCATGAGAGAAAGCCGTGTGGACAGTCTCAGGTGATGCCAGGACTCTCTGGACCCCGCGCCTCAGCCTGGGGAGCCACAGATCCAGAAACATGCCAAATATGGGACCAAGACTGAGAACATGGTGTGCCTATGTGTGAGCCATTTTCTCAAAGGGATGTTGGGGCTATTTATTGTCAATAGTAATTTCATTAAAAAACACTCCTGAAGGGAGGTATCTGCCATGGTGTGCGTGGGTGTACCGCCTCGCCACCGGCAGGCACAACTGCTCTAGATTAAGAAGCTCCCTTAGACACAGTGAGGGGCGAGCTAGACCGGGAACAGAGATCGGAAGGTCTGGGGGGTTCAGAGAAAGAAAACCAGACTCGGTGACCGGCAGAGAAGAGGAAGAGGAGGAAACACTCAGAGCACTTGAGACCCTCGGCTCTGCAAGGCTGCAAGAGGCCATACCGCCTGCCGCCTCCTGCAGCAACACCTCCGGGCCCCCAGACTTTGCACTGAGACTGTTAGCCACTGGCTGGTGCAGACTCCATGGTTACGCAGCCCCAGATGTTAGAACGTGTTCTGTGCTGAGCCAAAGTCGCCCACAGTTACTTCTACCCACAGGCCTAGTGCCAGCCCCCACCTGACCCCTTCCCATGGCAGCCCGCCAACATCTGAAGGTGGCATCCCCTTCCTCCTAGCTGCTCTTCCACATTTCCTCCCATTCTTCTGACCCCTGCCCACCAGACACTCTTCTCTGGATGTAATAATTCATCTTGCTGCATCCCGGGGACAGTCTTGACTTGCATAAGGAGGCCAGGACCCCTGCCTTCCTAGACCTGGACACTGCACCCCCATCACACACGGAAGGCCACAGACAGCCGTGGCTGAAACCTGTCCTCAGCCCTTGCAAAAAGGCAAAGAAAACATACTTTCAATGGCAACATGAGACTCTACGTTTCTCCCTGTTAAATTTCGTCTCACTATGCTCGCCCCTTAGGGTCCACGTGGGCCATGTGTTCATACACATCGCTGATAGAGACGGGAGGCCAGGGCAGGCTGAAGCATGTGCCGGGCACTGTGCCTCAGGAGCTTCTCCATCAGAGGTGGCTCCAGGCCTCTAATCTATCCCTCTCACTCGGGGGCCAGCACCTCCCATAAGGCAAGGCACTAAGAGGACTCTGCTGCTCCTTGATCTCTGGGTTGCCCAAACAGAGCAAAACAAACCAAAACAGAGACACTGGTGCTAGGACTCTCCCCACTCAGACTAAAGAACCAGGCTTCCCCATGCTCTGCACTACAAAATGCAAAACCCAGAGCAATAGACAATTAGGACTCCAGAGCCCTCTGTGAGCCCTCTGAGATGAGGATCCATAGACACCCAGCCAGGAAAAAGGACCCAGTCATCCTCACTCTCCCATAAAGGTTCTGGAGACCCAGTGCCAGCTAAAAAGGGGCTCCTGTACTCACTGCTCTTGTCTAAAGGCACATAGGAAGGTATCTTAGGGAGATATCAAAAGCAGCATACCACCCAAAGTGATCTACAAATTCATCGCAATCCCCATCAAAATACAAATGACATTCTTCACAGGAATAGAAAAAAAAATCAATCCTAGGCCGGGCGCAGTGGCTAATACCTATAATCCCAGCACTTTGGGAGGCTAAGGCAGATGGATTGCTTGAGCTCAGGAGTTTCAGACCAGCTTGGGAAACATGGCAAAACCTCATCTCTACAAAAAATACAAAAACTAGCCTGGCATGATGGGATACGCCTGTAGTCCCAGCTACTTGGGAGGCTGAGGCAGGAGGATCACTTGAGCTGTAACTGCACCACCGCACTCCAGCCTGGGCAACAGAGGGAGACCCTGTCTCAAAACAAAACAAAACCAACAAACAAAACAACAACAACAAAAATGAGCAAAACAATCCTAAAATGTATATGGAACCAAAAAAGATGCCAAATAGCCAAAGCAATCTTGAGCAAAGCCAGAGGCATCACACTACACAATTTCAAAATATACGACAGAGCTACAGTAAACAAAACAGCATGGTACTGGCATAAAAAGACACATAGACCAATGGAACAGAATAGAGAACACAGAAATAAATCGATATACTTACAGCCAACTGATTTTTGACAAAGGTGCCAAGAACACACAACGGAAACCACCAAAGTGTCTAGCTACCAATGAATGAGTAAAGGAAATGTGGTACATATGCACAACGGAATACTATTCAGCCATTAAAAAGAATGAAATGCTGTCATTTGTGGCAACATGAATGAGCCTGCAGGCATTACGTTAAGTGAAATAAGCTAGGCACAGAAAGACAAATGTCACAAGATCTCACCCATATTTGGAACCTAGAGAAGGGGAGATCATAGAAGCAGCAAGTAGAACAGTGGTTACCAGAGGCTGGGGAGGGGCCAGCGGTGGACAGGGAAAGGCTGGTCAGTGAGCACGAAGTGACAGTGGGAGGAATAAGCTCTGCTGTACTACTGCACAGTAAGGTGACAAGGGTTAACAGTACTGCCTTGTGTATTTCAAAATAGCTGGAAGAGAGGATTTTGAATGTTCTCACCACAAAGAAAAGATGAATGTTTGAGATAATGGAAATGCTAAATACTCTGATTTGATTTTTACACAATATACACATGTATCAAAACATCACACTTTACCCCATAAATATGTACAATAATTATGTGTCAGTAAAAACAAACAAAAAAGTAAAAAACAAAACAAAGCAGCAGCCACAGACAGGGTCAGGTGTGCCACCACCCTGCGCACACACAATCCTATTAATATCTACAAACCCATCTTCCACTCCAGGTTCCAGAACCTGCCCACCCCACCCAGTTCTCCCAAGCACACAATTCAGAATCCCACTTGTGCTGTGGCCCATAATCAGCAAGGCCACGTTCACAGCCAACAGCATCAGTCACCCATCCCCACTGTCCTCTGGTCTCCCAATTCCTTCTGGGTCAGCTCTGGGCTCAGACCCCCTCTCATCCACTCTTCTCCCTTGACATCCTTCTGAGTCCTCCATCCCTCCTTCTCCCCTGCTTCCTCCTCCATTCAGAAACGGAATGATGGACACAGGCCCCCTGCTCTCCTTCCCACAGATCGCAACATCATGGAGGTGCTCTCCTCTGGCTGAGCCATGTCTCCTCTCATGAGTCCCCCCTTCCCTCCCTGTCCACCAGGCAAGATCGCACACAACTGTCACCTCTTATGTCACAAGGTGATTGCCACTTGCTTGGGAAAATCCAGTCCTAGAGACTCCCAGGACAGACCTCTTTTCCCTACAAAATCCTCCTCATCAGCCTTTGTCAAAATAGTGCTGCAAAAAGCAAGTCTAGTGTTCTCATGACACCTGCAACCCAGATCTTAGTAAGTCACCAAACTTGGACTGGCCAAGAGGCCCCAGCTTCCCCTTCCTTCCTTCCTGTGCCAGGAGCCACAGTCCCACATCCACGCTAAGGAGACCTAAAGCCTGTGCGTCCCTTTGGTTATGGCTGCCCCTAAAAGCAAGAACCAAATTCAATGCCACGTGACATGGGCTGTCTCACTTCAGCAGGCTGAACAGTGGATTCCAATAGTTTGCTTCAAACTCTATCATCAATGTGTTTGTTCATCGTTATACCATTTCTTAAGTGAGTTCCAATTTACATGCCAAACAAACCCCTGAGGACGCAGCAGGAGTGAAAACCACAGGAGGAAACACTGCTTGGGAGAATCAGGCAACAGTCTCTCCCTGTACATTCGCATTTCTCTCGATTGTCTTTCTGGAAAAGTGTGGCCCAGCCTCAGAGACAGCCAACTGTGAGGGTTTCTGTGACATCTCAGCCTCAACAGCAGTCCCTCCCACCAACGCCTCCTTTGTGGCTCTTACCTGATATTTTGACTGGACTTTGAAAGCTGGGTTGAATTTTATGCACATTATCATTTTTTAACACCTGATCCAGAGGAGATCTTTCGAAGAAGGTGAGCACAACTTCCGATCTAGAATACTGGGGAGAAATGCAGGGATTACTAAAAACGATCAGCCTCTACACGTTGGCCCTGTCTGTCTACCAAGAGAGGGCCCCGCTCCTCCGCAGAGGCAGCCTGTGTGATGCAAACGCCCCATGAATGTCCAGATGCTCCCATGGCTGGCCGCAGGGGCGGGGCTGCCATCACTGCACAGCCCTCACATGCTCATGGCCCAGGCGGCTGAAAGGCAAGGCCTCAGCGACCTGGGCAGTGGAGGGAATCATGGCTCTGATGTGCCAGTTTCACTTGCGCCTCCCTCCCTCTATAGTCAACTGTAGGCTGTGTCCACTCTCCCCACTGGCCAGAAAGAAAGGGAAGCTTCCAGGAGCTAAGGAGGTCTGCCTGGCGCTCAAGTCCAGGTTCTTAACCACCACTCACGACGAAGCCCGCAGGCTTACATGGAAAGGGAGTTGACGGTCAAATCCGGGCAACGTGCCCCGCTGTGCTGACGCCAACGTTCTTCTTGGTTTCCACGTGTCTGTTCTAAAATCCCCTCAGCAAGACGGTGGATTCTGAGCAGAGGCAGAAAGCAAAGGCCTCCTGCAGCCAGAGGGGATCCGCACCCTTCCACCCATGCCTCCTTGCATCCCTCATTTTCACTCTTTCCCCAGGGAGGAAAAACCGGGGCCACTGGAGCCCATGAAAGCCTTCTTTCTCCTGATTACACCTGCACACCTCCACTCCGTCCCTATCGCCTGGTACTACCAGGGAGGGAACAAAACGGCTAAGTGAGACAGAGCAAGCAAGTCAACCCTCCGGGGGGATGGACGCCTTTCGCATTTGGGAGGTGCCAGCACCTCCCACCTCCCTGCCCAGCCCGGGGCCTGGCCACACTCACTTTACAGGGCATGCTTATGATCGTCTTCAGCAGCTTCTCCACCTCATTAAGCCTGGTCTCTATGTCGTGGGCTTCCTTTATGGCAACCAGTCCTAGAATTGAGACAGAAATGCTCAAAGTCAGAATAGCACACCAGGAAACGCGCTCCCAATGCAATACACAACAGGTGCCCACAAACCGCCAGGGTCGTCATCTGTAATGAGATGTCGGGAACATTCATTCAGCCTTATGCACCTATAGCCGCTTTCTGGAAGTCCTGCTCTAAGCCTCATTCCATGTTTCACCTACCCAGTGATCCATAAAGTCTGTGCAGGAGTTGGTACTGTCAATCTGAAAAGGGGATGGGAGGTGTAAGATCCCTCCAAGTGGGGCAGCCTGGCAAACTCCATAATCACCCTGGTCACAGCCAGAGCTCAGCCCAGGGCGAATCAGGCCCCACCAGCGTGGTGGCTACAGTCAGGGGTGCTGGCCCAGGACCAGCCCACCCCCAGTGACACAGGGAAGGACTCACTCTGCTGGCCACGGCTGCTCAGATCGCAGACCCCTGGAAATGGAGCCTCTGTTTAGACCAGTCATTTACATGCCAAGTTCACAAGGAAAAAAGTCAGATCTCTGCCTGGACAAAACCAAAGTGGACACGACTCATGCCACTTTCCAGGAATCTGGGCCTCTGTGCTTCTCACGGTCACCACACACCCGAGTGGCTGTCAGGCAGCATAATATTTTATTTTTAAAATACCATAGCTCGAGGCATGAAGGCTCGGGTGCTTTTCTATCTCCCCATGAGAAGCGCAGAGCAGAAGTCTTCCCATCACAGGTTCTATCCGTCGGCTTTGCAGGGATGGGGAAGTAGGTGCCCAAGGACACTGGCGTCTCCCCCACACTTGTGTGACCGAGGCTGATGCAAACGTGCCTGTGAGCGGTGATTAAACCACAAAGGCTTAAGTGCCAGAACTATTAATGGCAAAAACCGTGATTACTGCGATTACTTTTGCACCAACCTAGTATTATTGGTCACGGAGACTAACTTTTTCAGAAGTTCTGGTCTGATTTTGTTTTGCAGGGGAAAAGCCTGTTCAGTTTTCAAGCAATTCGTTGAATAGGTCTATAAGAGAGATAAAAAAAGATTTCTTAAACTTCCTGACTGAAATTAAGAGGTCCCAGAGCATACAGTCCATGAAAACTCCCACCAGGGCTCCCCAGACATAGGTCAAAGGCACTTCTGCAAGAGTGGGCTACCGCAGGGGCATCCCCATAACGGGGGTCAGTGGGGATCAGTGGAGGCCAAGAACCTTCTCCCCACTTCCTCAAGCACGTGCCAGGTGCCCATTCAGCTGGCTCACCTGGTATCCCAGCAGGCATCCCTGCTTAGCAGTGGGGCTATCTGATCCTGCCCCCTCCACTGACCTCAGCCACACAGGCCCAGGCGGCCAGCTGTGCAGGGCACAAGGGTCCAAGAGGGGCAGGGTCCGTGGTCTGTGACTCAGCCACTGGAAAACCCTGGGGCCTCTGTCCACGTGGCCTGTGCCTACGCCCAAGCACGATGCCCTGGCCGTCACCAGAGGAAGGGGCTGGACGACCCTCTGCCGTGTTCTCCAGCCTCGGCCCACCTCCCCACACGCCGGGGCAAGCAGGGTGGAGAAGGAAGAAAACGAGAAAACAACAAAAGTACCAGACTCTCCGGATGCCTCCTCCCAAGCCCTGAATTCCTTGCATAGAATTTCAAATATTTATATACCGCAATTTACATAGAATTTCAAATATTTATATACTACAAGATGTATATATGCACCACTCTTTCAACCAAAATGCTTTGATCCCCTGCTTGCTCAGGGAAGTCTACCAAGGAAAGGGGAGCCAATTCAAAATTCTTAAAAAGTTGTTTTTAAAGAGAAGACAATTATATAACTCATTCCCACAAAGTGCTTCTTTATTCTAAGACAAGCAAAACTACTGTTATATTTCAACTTTCATTACAGCTAGAATACTAGCTTCCAGTTGATCAAATGAATGACATACTAGTTGTACTCAGTTTACAAGATCGGCTTCTTGCAAAGTCAATGTATCCAGCACATGTATACCCATTTCATAGGACAGAAAGCGTGACCTAACAATTTACAGGTATTATAGAGGTTTATAATGCTTTTATCTTTGCTTTGCTGACATATCTTTGGCTACATCTTTGATTTAATTAATGTGCAGCTCTTGGTTGGGTTGATAACCTCCAAGGGTCACATTAGGGAGATAAATATATTCTGCGGTACACTGATCTCCTTTTAGTATGGCCAAACTTGGCAAATAAGACACGTGATGCCTAATTAAATACGAATTTCAGATAAACAATGGATAATGCAATAGCAGGGACAGACTTACACTAAAAACATATTTGCTGTTTGACATTCAAACTTAACTTTGGGTCCGGTATTTTATCTGCCTACGCTATCTTCTTTGTGACCCATCTTCCAGACTGAACTACAGAAAGGCAAGTGTACCTGGTCAGGCCTCTGGAAACCGTGTTAGGATTTTAGTTGGGCGTGCAGACTCTTCATGACCTGCTCCTAGCCCACCTACCTCACCAGCTCTGTGCCCTGTGAAACACACCCTCAAGCCAACCCCGAGAAACAGGCCCTCGCTTCCCAACAGCCTCCAGGTGAGCTGTCCTCCAGCCTCCTCCACCTCCAGGCTCATGATGGGGCAAAGCCCACTTAGGCAAAAGCCACCTGCTCTGTGATGATGGGACTGGCTCCTGCCTGTGGGTTCGGAAAGCCCATCCCACCCTCTACAGCCTCTTGCTCCTCTGCAATGACTGTGCCTTCACCTGGGGGTCTCCCCAGAGACTAGTGAGAGTCATAGGGCAGGAGGCACCTTAGGCTCATCTCCCTGTGACCAGCAACCAGCACAGTGCCTGGCCCATGCCAGGGATGCGATGTTCGCTGGCTGTGCTGGCAGAATACACTTGCATCAGATGAGACAGAAGTGGACAGGTGTTAGTCACTCTCCTGTGTGTGCACCAGCTGCCCTTGGGCAGCACCCCAGTCTCGGTCTTCTCGTCATCACCTCAGCCTGACCCCAGACACAACCGACCAGCAGCAGGCTCTTCGGTCACCAGCCTCGAAGGAGAGTCTCGAGGGCCAAGTGGCACTAAAACTGCTGAGCCACACTGGTTTGATTTTATTTGTGGAAATGTGCAGAACCACATTGCTTCCTTTCACCTGCTTTTATGTTTCTGAATGGAAGCCAAACTGTGTTCCTTGGGTGTGTAAACATCCTTAACAACCAAACAAAAGGAGCCTGAGAAAATTTAGATGGGGAAAGTGAAGAGCTGGAATCCCTGCCTGGAAGCACAGAAATGACGGTGCTTATTTTTTAAGCTCTAGGATTTTAGTTAAGGGCACGTCCATTATTGAATTCCCCATTCCGGCTCCCGGTGGCAACCAAGCTGGCAATCTGGATCAGCTTTCTCAGGACACTGTGGTCCTTTCTCCACGGAGACAGTTCACCTGAATGACAACGAGCGCTGATCCCTTCCCCAGGAGGGGCCGCAGCTGATTCATGAAGTGATGAATTCTGCTGAACTTACTGAAACCCACCTGACTGACAGCAGCACAACTGGGCTGCTGTTGCTCCAGCTGCTACCACCAGAGCTCCAGAGCACGGCGACAAGAACGCAGCGCGGGGCTGCCTTGAGCAGCAAACGCCTCCCCGCCCCCACTCAAGAAGTGACACTGGCAAGAGACTACAGACAGCCTGGCCTTCCTAAAATGCCAACGCTCCCATTTCCCTACTCCCCTTCAATTGTTTTTAAAATGTTTCAAATACACCAAACGGATGGGTGTATTTAATGTGGAAGGAAAACACTTTTTAAAAAAAAACTGTACAACTGTCCACTGGGACCACAGTGCAGAAATAAAAGAAATCTTCATCTTGCAATTTCTGATTGTTTTATATTCACTAAGGTTTCTCAGTTTCACAGCTGGAAACCTCAAGCTCCTGCTGCCAGCATGCCAAATTACAAATACTCAAATTTATAAAGAAAAAGTTCTGAGCAGAATCCACGCTGAAGACACTGCTTTATTTTCCAGGAACAGACAAGAACTATGAGTTTAAGAAATACTGCTTCCCCCAAAGCAAACTATTGAGTGCATCTGCGTTTCTTTCTATCCTACCTGTTGTACTCCTCCTTTGTGACTCAAGTGCTTTGGCTTCCAAATGGCTAGTGGATTCTTTCCAAATGTTGTCACCTGTTTACCATAAGCAACGATTTGAAAACTTGTTTTCAAAACTGCACTTAAATACAGTAATTTTAGATCATCTAAAACTTTTGGTTTTTATATTCCAAATATTGTTGATGGCATGACAATTCTGGGGGTTCCTGTCCGACTTGGTTTCACTGCCTGAGATCGCACGGATGAATACCGCAGGCAGGTGAAGAGGGTTGCCTATTCTGCCAAGCGAACCTGAAAACGGAAGCAGAGCCGCTTCGCTCGGGTCTTTCAGGACTGACCAGCAGGGGGCGCGCGCACTCTGCGGAAAAAGCAGGATGGCGTTCACTGCAACGCACGCTTAAGGAAGTTAGCCTCAGAGTTCACAGCCCCGGAAACTGTTCTAATTTCTGATAAATAATCACTAATACAACCTCAACTTTAAAAATTTCATCCTACACAATTTGTGACATGAGAATTTCATCCAGATGTAGCCAAACAATTAAGAATTTGAAACCAAAAAATTGGTAACACAATTGTACATAAATTCCGGTGGGCCAACTGGACACACATTTGGGGACTGAGTATCAACAGGGGGCTGCCAGCGTCACTTTTCTTCCTAAAGGAGTTAGGTCTCGAAAGCTGAAAACACAGCGTTGTATCTGTCAATTTGGGGATTAGCTGCTTTCTGCAAACACAAACACCTGATTTGTTCTTGGAATCAGAACTGAACGCGCTGGAGGCAGTACAAAAATCTGACAGTGAGAGCCAACGTTAACAAACACCGCTTCCGGATCTCAGAAACCTGGGTCCAGAGTCCCACTTTTTTGGGAATTGGAGGCTTTGGGCTCAACACTTGCGGTAACTGGCCCAGCTTCCTCCAGGGAGGACCTTGGCCATCTGACTCTAGCGGGAGGGCTTCCTGCTGCTGCAATTCTGAAACTAAAGGCAGGATGCTGGCTCGGGTGCGCTGGGAGGTCACACGTTAAAGAGCGTCCACTACCCAAAGAACAGGCCTCTCTGAGCACTCAGAGGACGCGGTTCCCACACGCACACAACAGTCGGCCCCGGGGAAATGCTCTGCAAAGTGAGCTTTAACAAACTGAGTCAAACCATAAATTACATTTATATTGTTTCCTTTCCATTTAACAAATGTGCCCATCAGCACACTACACAGATGCAGAGGTGAAGGGGGGAACGCAGCCTCATCTTGTATGCTGCACGGGAGACACACATTCTTTAAAGGTTGACTATAATACACATCTTGGAAACTAAATATCTAAAATGTTTTAGGAAAGCCTTTAAAACTTCCTAAGTACCTGTTTTCTAAATAGGCAGTCAATGCTGAAGCAGCAGCGAGTTAAGAACTGACTAGCTGGTTATTCAATGCATAACTAAGCAACCCAGGGAAGTTCTAACTCCCTGGGAACCTGAGGCTGCTCTTCGCTATCCGAGACTGACACGTTTCCACCTGTGGAGTGTCACGCAGTATAACTGTACAAGGAGAGCGAGATTGCGGCTGTGTGGACACCAGGACAGAAGGCCTCCCCCACACCTCCACGCTGCAATGCATCAGGGGCGCCCAGCGGCTGGTCCACAGCCACCTCTCCTCTACATCTTTTCAGGAGTGAAAAGCTGAGCTGAGAATGCAAGAGGAAGAGATGGAAGTGGCTGAGGAAAAACAGAACACCCGGAGGACCCAAGCTGGGGGCTGAGGGAAGTCTCTCTTCCTCCCTCTGCAGCAGTGGCTGCCTTCTGTACCTGGGAGGTGGCTCCTAGAGCGACTGGGAAAGAAATGTTTGACTTAAACTTACTGAGCTCTGCTCTGCTCTTCCCGTAATCCTGCCTTCTCTAGGCTTTTTCATTATTTTCCCCACTAAAAGCCAAATCCTCTTCCTAAATTTTAGACTCAACATTCTCCAACAGCCATCCACTTAGCCAGTCCGTCCTGCAGCATCACAGGTTCCCAGGGGGAGCAGCCCACTCAGGCAGGAAGGAAGCACTTCAGTCGCTCTTCCCAAAGCACCCATGGCTCCTCCTCCACCAGGCTGGGGATACCACGGCCAACAAGATGGGATCCCGGCCTCCTGGCACGTCATGCTAGCCAGGAGGGCCAACAGGAGGCAAACACAGACCACAGACTGTCCCCTGCCTGGCAAATCCAGGTGCCAGGAGGATGCACAGCAGGGGATCCCCCCCACACTCCCGGGCAGGAGGCGGCCTGAAGGGTGAGCGGATATAAGGGTGAAAGGGGTTGGGGAAAGAGGGAGTGAGATGGGGAAGGTGGAGGGCAGGGGTGGGGAGAGCTGAGACCAGAAAAGGACAAGCGTGGTCTCACAAATCCCGGGAAAGGGCCTTGCCCATGAGGGACAAGGAGGCAACGGCTTCCCACGGAGGTTCTGGCTACAAGAACTCTGTGCACTTGGCAATTCTTGTTTTTATTTATTTATTTATTTGAGACGAAGTCTCGCTCTTGTCACCCAGGCTGGAGGGCAGTGGTGCAATCTCAGCTCACTGCAAGCTCCGCTTCCAGGGTTCAAGTGATTCTCCTGCCTTAGCCTCCCGAGCAGCTGGGACTACAGGCATGCGCGCTACCAGGCTCGGCTAATTTTTCTATCTTTAGTAGAGACGGGGTTTCACCACGTCGGCCAGGCTGGTCTCAAATTCCTGACCTCAAGGGATCCACCTGCCTCGGCCTCCCAAAGTGCTGGGCTTACAGGCGTGAGCCACCGCGGCAGCCATTCTTTCTTAGGATCAGGCCTAGATCTTAGGATCTTTCTTAGGTAACCCAAACCTGGCCCACACCCAGCACCAATTCTAGTTTCTGGACGAGCAAGGCCACAGGCCTAGTCCGTAGGGATCCCACTGAAGTTCGGTGGTGACCTCCCTCTTTGTGGGCTCCCTCTTTAGCCAGGGCAGGGGTATTCTCCCAGGGTATATGGGGGGGCCACACCCAGAAGAGGGCGGGCACATGAGTGGGCCAGTCCTGCCAAGCGGCTCGCTGCTCTCAGGAGCCAGCCTCCAGCACTCTCCCGCAGACCACTGTCATCAAGGGCACGTGGCAAGTGCCAGGGCAAAGAGCAAATGGTCCCAAAGCCAGCAGCCCGTATATGCCCAGCTTGGTGCTGGGCACTCTACGGATACCACTGCTTTCGGTACTCACAACGGCCCTGCGTGCGGATATTATTACTGCTATAGCATCAACAGTGCACCCGAGGCTTGAGGAACTTGCCTGGAATGACATGCAGGTGGCAAAGCCAGCATCCAATCCCCTAACCCCACCTGTCTGGGTCCAAAGCCAGTGCTTTCAGCCTGAGCCTGACCCCTCCTATTAAGGCCTGACTGTGTTCCCAGGTGGGGAGATCCCTGAGCCTGACCCCTCTCACTGTAACTGAGCTGTGTCCCAGGTGGTTGACCCCCAAGCTGACCCCTCCTACCATGACCCAGCTGTGTCCCAGGTGGGTGATCCAGCAATCTGGCAAGGCCTTGATCTTCTATGATGAGACTGACAGCTGCCACCTATCAAAGTATGAACTGCAAGCTCTTCCCTCCCCCTCTGCACCCGCTGTCCACCATGTGTTTTCTGCTGAGTCTAGGTTAAACATCAGCAAGGTTTCTTAACAATGGGAAGAAACCCTTGCAGGTGTAAGTTGGCAAAAGAGTTACGTGGTCTGTCTGATGTCCCCATTTCCTGTGGGATGGGGCAAGAGGGGGCACAGCTAGAGGTGTCTGTCTGCAGAAGAATGTCACCACATATGGTGTGCGTTCAGCTCCTCTCGCCACCAAGCAGGGAGCTCAGATCAAGGTGCTCCTGAGCTGAGTCCCTGGCCTGTTCTGTGAGAAAGCTGCAGCTTTTCAGTGCCAACTGCCACCGTGAAAGGCAGTAGCCCTGGAAGCAGGTCTGTCTGTGGAAGTGTCCAGTCTCCAGCTGGGAAGTGAGCTCAGGTGTCGCCTGGGGCCCAGGGGCTCAGTCTGAGATCTGTCGGGGGGGCAGCAAACCAAACGCAGCTCAGTGGCCATTTATGGAAAAGGAAGAGGATCCCAGGTACAGCAGGATGGGGGAAGCAGAGTGGGCGGCGGGGTTTGGGCTTGGCAAAGAAAAGCAAAACAGAAGGAAGAAAGAGGAAGAGGAGGCCGCGTGAAGGTGGGTGGCCCCATGGGAGCCCTGGCAGGGCACCCCCAGTGCAGGGTGACTTGGCCAGGTCAACAGAGTCAAAAATAGGTCTGTGAGTCAGAAAGGAAGATCCAAGTCCCCTGAGAAGTAAAGCTGCCCCTCTGGGTGGGGCAGAATGACGCAGGTGAATTCTGCACGGGGGTGGAGCTATGGTTGAAGGCAAAGGGCAGGCCCAGCCAGCACCCCACTTGCAAGGGCCCACTGGATGGGGCAGAGATGGTGCCTCTGTGCCCCTGCTCTGCTGCCCGGGACTGGTGTGGCCCATGATCATTTCTGAGCCACTGTCACTAAGAAAGTAAACTCCGTGGCTTTGCAGTTGGCCATCGGGTGGGATTCTCCCTTATGTTTCAGGGTAACACAGGGCTTCTCCCCTCACTGTCCACCCGAGAACAGCATGAGCAGGTTCAGGCCCTGGGATCAAATCACGCATCTTCCTAGAGCTGTCAGGGTTGTGGGAGTCTGGTAGTCACATCTGTGTCCAGCCCTTTTCTGGTAATGTCCCAGATGCCAGTCCCCTGGTACTCGGATCTCAAATCTAAGACGACAGTCTCCTAGCATGCAGGTAGATGAATGTCTTTGGTGATAAAGATGAGCACAGGCAGGTACATTAGCACCACATGGGCTGGCGGGCTTGTGATCATGGCCTTACTAAGAGAAAACGCTAAAATGCCGCCTCCCAAGCTGCCCTCCTGAGCCACCCCCTCCCCCATGTCAACTCCTCCTGCCGACTCCCCCATGGCAGCAAATGGCAATCCTGCCAGTCCTGCACCTCAGGCTGAAAACTCTGGGGTCATCTGCACACTACTCCACACCCCATGTCTGGCCTTGCAGTGCCCCTGTGGCTCTCCCTCAATGCACATCAGCGTTTGCCCACTTCTCCCACCTGCTCTGCTGCACCAGCCCCCAGCACCTGCCTCCACGCCTCCCCTGCTCTTTCCCAGCACAGCAGCCCGAGTTTGAGTCAGGCCAAATCACCTCTCTGCTCAGAGCCCTCTCTGAATAAAAGCCCAAATGTGACCACGACCTTCCTCTCTCCCTTCCTGACCAACAGTCTCCACACCAGCCACCGTACCTCCTCACTCCCCAAACCCACCAGGCACATGCCAGCCTCAGGGCCTTTGCACCTGCTCTTCCACTGCCTAGAATCGACTTCCCCAGGCACCCAATGGCATGATCCCCGCTTTCCTTCATGTCTCTCTTCAAAAGTCACTTGTCCTCGATCACCCTGTCTAAACGCAAAACCCCTCCCCCTGCTCCTGTAAGTCGGAGCCCCTTTCTTTGCTTACTTATTTTTCCTTTTGAACATGTATCACTATCTAATGTATTTGTTACTTGTTTATCTTGTTACTATTGGATTTCTCCCAACCAGAATATAAGAATCATGAGGGCAGGGATGTTCTTGGTCTCTTGTTCACTGCTGTGCCACCATCACCTACACATGTGGTAGGCACTATGCAGATATTTGATGGAATGAATGTAAAAGCAAAATGTTGATTGTACAGCTACTAAGAATGAAAGATCACCTGACTACTCGGGAACACAATCTGTTGCTGCAGTGGTGACCTGGTTGGCTCAGACATCACAAAGCCTGAAACTATAGAAATAACAATCGAAAAAGTCTAGGAGCCTCAAAATGCCAACAAGGAAATTCAACATGTTTATGTTTTAAAGCATAAACCTTCCTAGATGCGAGAGATGTAAATAAAGGGTAACCCTGAACCATGTTAGGTATCGCACAGAGGGGACTGAAATGAAAGACTTGGGCCCACTGGTGTTAAGAGTCTGGAAAACACAAGAACGGAACACCTTGGTAACCCGGCGACAATATCCCCAGGAAACAGCTACCTCCCTCCCCTAGGGCTGCGGGACAAGAAAGGGAGAGGGGGCATATCCAATCTGGATGGAGAAGAAGGTCGGGTGGGAGAGTGAGAGTGCGAGGAAAGGGGAGAGAGGACAGAAGCTGGGCAAGTCCTGAGGTCAGCCCGGTCCGACCTCACCCAAACAGAAGTCCAGGAGAGAGCGCTAGTGAGCACTGTGCCTCCACCCCAGGCAGGGATTGACATATCCCTGCAGATGTGTCACCGTGACACATACAAGGCCCAGGGATGGCCTCCAAGCACCACTCCACAGTGTGTGTGTGCAGAGAGAGAAAAAGCACATTCTCCCCCACTGCAGTACTCAAGGGACCAAGAAAAGGGCTCAGCATCCCTTTAATTGCTAGCAGATTCAAAGCTGCAAGTGGGGCCAAGGCTCCCACACCCTCCAAGGGTGTGCAGACACTTCCAAGAGTCACCAGCCCACTGCCAGCAGAAGCTCAGAAATCCAGATTTCCTCACAAATCTCTTAAATGGAACTAGAGAATGCAAATCTAACCCGTCCCAGAAACAGTTCAATCCATGTAAACTGGGGAATGTGATAGGGAATGATGCAGAGAAAAGCCGGCATTGCAGCACAGCAAAGCACACACATCTGGCTGCCTTTTGTGTTTATAGTTTGTATATCCAGATAATCTTTTTATGCAAACAATAAATCTGCATGGAAATAAGGTGCAATCTGCTTTTACATTACTGGGATATATTTTACTTGGCAAACAATTTCCCTGGACTTAAAAGGATCAAAGAAAGGGAAAGGACTTCCCTGGCGCTGCACAACAAAACTCAGGTGGTGCTGGGCAGGGACCAACTAACTGCCCCTCAGAAAACCAAGGACTAGAATGAAGGCAGGGCTTATGGTCCCGGTTCTGGTCCCAGGCTCCCCTCTTCACCCCCTCCAGGGTGTGCCAGACTGTCCCCAGCAGAGAGAGCAGCTCCAACAGTTCCACGGTGTGCTGTGAGAAAGTCCTTTACACCCAGCCGCTGGACCTCACACTCACCGCCCACCAGCCCTGCCACCATCATTCTGACCCCTATTTCTGATTTCTGTTCCCCTTGAGGTACTTGGAGGTAGCTATCATATCCCTTCTGAGCCTTTTCTCCACGGTAATCGCTCGCGTCTTCAACCTTTCTTCACTCTTTTGAGCCACTCCTGCGTGTCCACACAGCTTGTGACCGCGTAACAGACCCAGCACAACTAGGGCGACAGCAAAAGAGGCGGAGCCAGGGTGTGTGCAGGGCACGCCCCTCCCTCCTGCTCCAGGTGAGGTATTTCCACCAGCGTGGATGCAACTGAAACCACGCCCTCTTTCCACCGTCTGGCCCAACCCCAGCCAGAAGCAGCTGATGGGACGGTAACAATGACAACTGGCATTTATGGAGAACCTGCTCTTGTTAGACCCTCTACCATGCCTTTCAGTCCTCACAAACGTCAGAGACCACAAGCACAAAGTTACAGGTGGGGAGCCCCACGGGGATCCCGCTCCAACCAGCCTGCCTGGGGTCACGGAGCTCAGACGCCTGACCACAGTGAAGCTCAGGGACTCCAGTGTATTTAAGCCTCGTTCCAGGAAAGGTCATTGAATAAACCGCTGTTCCTTCACGATGCTTTCCTGATTTGGGCATTGATTTGTTAAATTTAAAATATCATAACAAACAGCAAATCCAAGGAAAACTGCTTCCATGCTTGAAATAACACCCAACTGTCTGGAGAACAGCTATAAATGTGAGGCTCTGGGGAGCAGAGGGAGGCCTGAAAGGCGGGCCTTCTCGCTCAGGGCCCCAACTCGCTGGCTGTGGGAGCCCTTCCAAAAGATGTGTCATGAGAACTAAGCTAATTATCCACGTAATTCTCACACTGGGGTTGGGGCCATCGCCAGGGGAAAGCACAGGTTATCTCAAGAACGCAGCCAGATAGGAGGCTGGGGAGACTTGGACGGGCCACCTTCTGCTTCAGTAACTTGGCCCCAAGCTTTCAGGAGGTCTCTGCTTAGAGGAGGACTGCAGAAAAGAAGGCTGCTGGGCCACTGTCCCAATGTTCCGAGCTACAGGTGGTCACCCATGGAGGGGGGTGGGACCTGCTCGGAAGTCCTCCAGTCTTCCCGCCCCTTCTCCCCTCCCGGCCCTCCCAGGCGGCCCCTCTCCTCGGCCTGCCCCCTCCACCCCGCAATTCTTCCCGTCTCAATTCCAGTCCCTCTCTCTTGCGTCCTCCCGGCTTCCACCCCCTCAGCCTGGCCTCCAAAAGAAAGATCGGGCAGAGCGGTAGGAAAAGGGAAGCCACCGCGGTTTCTGAAAACAAGAATTCCCGCGAGCCAGGACGGTCACGAGGCCGGGGAGGAGGCGGCGCAGCTGATCAAACGCGAATGGGGACCAGCCCTGGCGGGGGTGCGGGGGGGCCCTGGCTGTCCGCGGCAGCCGCGGGCGGGGCGGCCGCTCCGAGGAGGGACGGAAGGGCTGCGTGGCACCTCGCGCTCGAAGACCAGGGGCGCGCCCTCCGCGGGGAGAACTCGGGGCGGCGGCCAGACCCGACGCGACCCCCGGCTCGGACCCTGCAGTTAACTGCTCCCAGACGCTTTCCCAGTGCGCCCGCCCGCCGGCCCTCGGGAGGTACCGGGCAGGGGGCTAGGGCCGGGCCGACCCTGTGAGCCGCTCAGCCCCGGGCGCCCCCGCCCTCCTCGGAAGTGACTCGTCCTCAGGGAGAGTCCGGCGCCCGCCCTGCCGGCCTCGGCCCCTTTCCCGCCCCATTTGGCTCCTCCGCCGGGGGCGCCCCCAGGCTGGGCAGGCTGGCTCCCCGTCCCCCTAACCCCGCCGCCCGGGCACCCCTCGTCTGCGGGCGCGGGGTCCAAGTGTCCCCTGTCCAGGGCGGGCAGAAAGGAGAAGTCGCAATCTCGGTTGAAGTCTCTTCCCCGCCTCCTTCGTGCACTTCAAGGCTGCCTCGGCCCCGCGCCCCTCCCGCGTCCCCGGCCCCGCACCTTGCCGCAGCGGCCCCTGCGCCAGTTCGGACCGGTCCTCGGGAAAGGCGTCGCGCAGGCGCTGCCACAGGCGGCCCAGGTCCGCCAGGCTGCGGTGCAGGTAGAGCACGCTGCGGTCCGACCACTCCGTGCGGATCTCGAAGAACTCCTCTTCGTCGCCGCGCCGGCTGACGATGAGCCTGCGGATGCCGTTCACCCAGCAGCCGCGCACGAACATGTTCACGAGCGACGTGCCCTCAAACACCGCCGAGGCCATGTCGCACGCATGCCCCCGCCAAGGGCTCCCCAGCCCCGCCGCCCGCCCGCCCGCAGGAGGCGCGCCCCGGCCGGGGTCGTCCCGGGTCTGTCCGTGGCCGGGGTCGTCCGGGGTCGGCCCGTCACTCCAAGGAGGCTGCGTATGGCCCGCGTTCGGGGCAGCGGGGCGGCGCGGCGGCGAGTGGCTCGGGCCGGCCGGGCGCGGCTTTATAAGGCGCTTCCCATCGCGGGCGGCGCGGTAGTCGACGTCGAGGTTAGGCCGCGTCCGCCTCCCGCCCGCCTCCCGCGGAACGGGCGCCGCGGGCCGCTCTGGAAAGGAAGAGGTCCGGCTGGCCGCGCCCCCGCCGCCTCCGCAGAGACCGCGCTGCCGCGGCCACGAGAACCCCCGGAGCCGGGAGCCGGGCCGAGTCCCAAGCGCTCGCCCCCGCCTCGCGCCCCCCGCGCCTCCTCCCTCGCGGCCCCGGAGCCGCAGGTCGGTGACTGGACCAGCCGGGAAGGGAGGCGGGGCGGGCCCTGCTTGCCAGGCGCTCGGCGCAGACTTTTTTCTCTTTCCGTTTCGCGATCCTCGGGACCTCCCAGGGCTAGGAGCTGCGCGCCCCACCCGGCCCGCGAGGGGATGGCAACTACCCGGGGTCCGGAGGCGGGGCTGCGAGTGTCGGGGCGGGGGGCGCGGGCCGGGTCGAGCACCGCCCCGACGAGGGCCCAGGCCAGTCCGGCCCGCCCCGGGTTCCCTCCGTGCCTCAGGTCCCCTCCGTGCCCCGCGTCCTCCCGCGCATTCCGGTCATGCCTCAGCCGCGCCAAGGCCTGGGACACGGCCGGACAGACCGCGGGGCAGCCCTCGGAGAAGTGGGAAGAGGGGAGAAAACAGTGGCGAAAAGAAGGTCTCCTGGGAAGGAGCGCCCTGGGAAGCTGGACGCGGTGGGTGCTCTTGAGGGGCCTCAGGAGTGGACTTGGGGAAACCGCCCGCCCTGAAAACTGACTCAGCGGCGCGTTACTGAGGCCGTTCCTAGTTGGAAGAGAATTAATAGCACTTGTTTGAGAATTACAAGTTAGTTCCAGAAATGAATCGAGTGACCTCACAGCCCGTAGGCAGGGGTGGGAGAGCCAGGGTGAGCCCCTCACCTCACCCCGCCCCCGCCCCGGCAGCGCTCTGGAAAGCCTCAAAGCCCAGCGCTGCGCGGAAATGTTAGAGGCCCAAGGCAGGTGGCCTGTCTGGACTCAGACCCGACCCAGATGTCCCCCCAGGTCCCTACCACTCAGTCCCACCTGCCTCGACTCAGTCCCGACCCAGATGACCACCCCCCCCCCGCCCCCACCACGACCAACTTTTATTCCGACTGCGCCAGTGACTTGCAGATAGCATAGCTTCAAATTTCCTCACCTGGTCTGGGGCGGTGAACAGGTCAAGATGGAGAGTGTCAAGAGAGACTTTTGCTTTGTCTATGATGTTTTTATATACACTTGCTAATTAAATGAACGCATATGTTTCCTGTGTAATTTTGTATAGGGGAATAGGGGCCGTGGGAACTGGAAGTAAACAGCCAGTGTGCCAGCAGCTCTTGACTCTAGGTGGTGGGAATAAGTGCCGTTGTAACCACAGTACCAGCCCAAACGGGGCTTACTCTGTTTGTAACAATGTTGAGTTACCTTGCAGGTATAACAGAGCCAAAAACTCTTAAGTCACAAAGCCCAGGCATGCACCATAGAAAAAGATTTGATCTCTAACAAACATCCAGAACCAACTATTCGTCTCCTTGGAACGAAGAAGACTGGGACATGACTGGAACCCGAACATTCGAACTCTCAGAAGGGAAGGGTCTCTTGGCCCAGAAGATAGGGGCTAAAATCCACCTCAACATACCGTACCATAAATGGCCAAATTTGAAGGCCTTCAAACAGATCCTGCCCAGCCAACATTTCTAAGTCCTTTCCTTTGCCCTCTGCTTCCTTAGAACTTGCCCCAGACCCCAAATCAGGGAGGAAGATTTGAACCTGCCTCCTGTCTCCTTGCTGGCTGGTCTTGCAATAAAGTCTTTCTTTTCTCAAAGGCAGTACCATGGTATTGCTTCCGTGTACATTGAGCAGTGAGCCTGAGGCAGGAAAATAGGGTCAGGAGGCAGGGAACATAAGGCCAATTCACACTTCGGCTGTAACAGGAAATATCCACTCCATAGGGCGTATGCTGTAAGTGACTTTGTAACTTTACTTCATCCTCTGCATTTACGTAGAGGGTAAGTGAAGTAAACAATGGAATCATCTAGGGGATATTTAAACTTCCAAAAATTCTGTAACGGGGCCTTTGAGCCCCTATGTTCGGGCCGCTCCCACACTGTGGAATGTAATTTCGTTTTCAATAAATCCCTTCATTCCTTCCTTGCTTTGTTTGTGCGTTTTGTCCAATTCTTTGTTCAAGATGCCAAGAACCTGGACATCCTCCACCGGTGACAAGCCCATTTGCTTAATAAGATTATTATTTTCTTCTCAGTATTTTTCTGTTACTTATTTTCTGAAAGTGCCAGGAAGAGGAGGGCAGGCAGGACCACCCCAAAACAGGCCACCTGTGGTATCATGGTGACCTCTAACCCCAGCCCCCAAGAATATGAAAGTGATGACGACTCTTATGAAGTGTTGGATTTAACTGAGTATGCAAGAAGACATCAGCGGTGGAATTGAGTGTTTGGCCCCAGTTGGAGACCTATGGTGTTACAGAGAAATACTCAGTAGCTACCCAGATTGGAATGTGTGGCGTGACAGGCTGGTATGCAGGATTTTTGCTCCCAAAAGTTGGGAAGGTTGCAGCAACTGCAGTGACTTCCAGATTGACTGGAAGAGAATTGAAAGAGACGTACATAAAGCAAAAAGACATACTAAGGCCCGGGCGTGGTGGCTCATGTCTGTAATCCCAGCACTTTGGGAGGCCGAGGCGTGTGGATCACCAAGTCAGGAGATCGAGACCATCCTGGCCAGCATGGTGAAACTCCATCTCTACTGAAACTACAAAAATTAGCTGGGCGTGGTGGTGGGCGCCTGTAATCCCAGCTACTTGGGAGGCTGAGGCAGGCGAATCGCTTGAACCCAGGAGGCAGAAGTTGCAATGAGCCGAGATCACGCCACTGCAATCCAGCCTGATGACAGAGCAAGACTGCATCTCAAAAAAGAAAAAAAAAAAAAAAGACAGACTAAGAAATGAGCAAATAAAGCAGCACCTGAAATCAACAATACAGTTGAAGAAGCAACTGACTTTATCAAACAGAACATTGTGATATCCACTGAATTTGTGGGAGGCTTTTTGCTAAGACTTGCATTTTAAAGACATGAATGGTCTACCATAGTAGACAGCTATGAGAAGTGGCGGCAACACAGTGTCCTCTCTCAACAGTACATGCTGCCGGATCTCAGAAAAACAACTAGCTGGACAATACTGAACTCACAACTTAGCATTTTGCCATCTGGAGCCTGGCAAACTGGTATTTGCTGTAAAACAACTTATGTGGTATGTGAACAGTAGTAGTTCTGAGCAAAACGTGGCTTTTATCATTTAAAAAAAAATGCTTCTCTTTAGAATTAGCTTATAAAATATCACCATTGGTTGTAGATATGGAGAGAAAAGAAACTGCTACATTTATTGCCTGGTGAAATATTAATCCCTTTTCATTTAAATAAGATGTTCTGGCTTGGCGCGGTGGCTCACACCTGTAATCCCAACACTTTGGGAGGCCAAGGAGGGAGAATCACCTGAGGTCAGGAGTTCAAAATCAGCCTGGCCAACATGGTGAAACCCTGTCTCTACTAAAAATACAAAACAATGAGCTGAGCGTGGTGGAGGGTGCCTGTAATCCCAGCTACTCAGGAGGCTAAGGCACAAGAATCACTTGAACCCAGGAGTCAGAGGTTGCAATGAGCTGAGGTTGCGCCACTGCACTCCAGCCTGGGTGACAGAGTGAGACGCTGTCTCAATAAATAAATAAGATGTTCTTCATTGTGGTTTACAGTATAATGACAATAATTTTAAAATCTGTATTATAGCTTCAATATTAGGACTGACTTTTTTTTAAAGATATGTCTGCAATAAATTGAAGAACTGCAATGCCCTTTTGTGGAAAGCTTTAGAAATGATATAATTATTAAAGATATTAAATAGACAAAAAATAATTTTCTAATAATGATGATAATAAAAGAATCTCTGAAGTGAGTATTAGAACTTCTGACTACTTCTAACTATTGGTCCTACCCAGCCACTGATGAACTCCAATCATATAGTCTCAAACTGCTCACTTGATGTTTCTTTGCCTCCATTTGCCTTTCCGTGAAATGGGAATTTAAAACAAAAATTAAAAAGCCCACGACTGTTGTGAGGACAAATAAAATGGTACATGGCTGAAAGTGTGCAGTAAACACCTTTGAGGACTTGTGTTATATAAATGTCAGTAACAGATACAGAGGAGACGGAGTGGTTTCGGGTTGTAAATCCAGCTGATGAGCTAGTTCATTGCGGGAGGCTACATAATAGAATGTGCAAATGGAGAACAAAGAGGAGCTCTCTGGGTCACCTGCCCATCTTCCAAGCCTGGTTTAGAATTACAAAGGTGTAGCCAAGGAGGAGTCCTGTTGTAGGTAAGAGCTTTGGAAACCAGATACTTCAATCCGATTAATAAGAGTAAATAATGAGAATAAAAGACTTCATGAAACTCAAGGCCTTTTCTTCTGAGGGGGTGTTGGGGTGTCCTGTTTATTTTTCTTCGGTGGTAGTTTTGTTTGGATTTAGCTTTTTTTTAAGTTCTATGTGTTCTCCCCGGCCCTCAAAGTGAACAGCAAGACAATGCAAAACCCCGGAGGCATCCCTCCAGGTCTCTGTCTGTGACCTACTCATCTGGCATCTGACAACACAATAGGGAACTCCGTGCTGCTATAGTCTGAAAAATAAGATTAACTTCTAGAGCCAGGAGGTGAGCAGTGAGTGTGGGGTGGGAGAGGAGATGCTCGCCCCAGGGTGCCCTAACCCCACAGGTTCCACTATTTGTAACCCCCTCTCCCACCCCACCTACTTTACCTCCCCCAACCCCTAAAGGGAGAGCTAAAGAGGGTCTTTTATTTTTTTTTTTAATCACTATCTGTGCTTGCAAGGAGTTTGGAGCCTCATGTGATTGACAAGCTGTTTACAAGAGCACCATGATTTGCATGTTAAGTTCTGCCTCAGCAGTTGTTCTAGACACGGTAAGATAGTTCAGTGAGCTTCCCACAAAACTGCAGCTCTTGGCCAGGTGTGGTGGCTCACGCCTGTAATCCCAGCACTTTGGAAGGCTGAGGTGGGCAGCTCACGAGGTCAAGAGATCAAGACCCTCCTGGACAACATAGTAAAACCCCATCTCTACTAAAAATACAAAAGTTACCTGGGTGTGGTGGTGCACACTTGTAGTCCCAGCTACTTGAGAGACTGAGGCAGGAGAATCGCTTGAACCTGGGAGGCGGAGGTTGCAGTGAGCCGAGATCGCACCACTGCGCTCCAGTCCGGCAACAGAGCAAGACTCAGTCTCAAAAAAAAAAAAAAAAAAACTACAGCTCTTCTCTGTTTCTCTTCAAAACAAAAGGGATGGGACCTCAGAGTTGTGAATGTTTGCAGATACAGTAACTGATTTGATCCTCACAACAGCCCAAGGGGACAGGGAGATCCTTGTTCCTTAGATTCAAGAAACAAGGCTCCAAGAGGGTCTGGAAAGGCCCTGGGTGGAGGGCTAGTCCCACACCAAGGCCCTGCTTGGCCGGGCCCCTGCAAATCCACTCACTGGTCCGGCCCGGGTTCCAGCACACTGGTGTTCATGGTCTCCAACGGCCCTGTGCCTTCCCCAGGGACCCGCTCACAGGCCCTCAGTGTGGAATGCCTGCCACCCCTGCCCTGGACTGCTCATTCCCATTCTTCCTTTAGACCAGTGCTTTTCAGACTCTCCAGTGCCTGTGAATTTCCTGGGAACTTGTTACCAAGTAAATTCTGATTCAGGAGGCCTGGGTGGGGCCTGAGATTCTGCGTTTCTGCCGGGCTGCCAGAGCTCATGACCATCTGCCGGCCACTCTGAGCAGCAAGGCAGATGCTAGCGTAGGCCTTGCTTGGTCTGGGATGTGTCAGGAGACACAATTATACCGTCTCCTGGTGCCCTGCATTGGTTCATAATTGTAATGAGTTTGTTATGTTTTCCTGGCTGCGGTGTAATCGCTAGGAGGGCAGGGACTAGACAACTGTCTCATTCCTAACCGTATTTCCAGTGCCTAGTACAGTGCCTGACACATGGCAAATGCTCACTAAATATTTATTAAATGGGCAAATGAGTGAAAGACGAGAGCCAGCCAACACTGGTCTTCCCACGGGAACAATGCCGTCCCTTGATCTTGTGAAGGGACAGTAATGGAACATTAGGGAAAATTTCACAACCCATCATCAAATCCAGATTTTACTGGAGGCCCATGTTGAGAGGTGACAGCATGCTGGCGGCCCTCGCAAGCTCTCGGTGCCTCCTCGGCCTGGGCGCCCATTATGGCCGCGCTTGGGGGGCCCTTCAGCCCGCCGCTGCACCGTGGGGGCCCCTTCTCTGGGCCAGCCGAGACCAGAGCCGGCTCCCTCGGCTTGCGGGGGGTTGTAGAGGGAGAGGCGCGGGCAGGAACCGGGACTGTGCGCGGCGCTTGCGGGCCAGCGCGAGTTCCGGGCGGGCGTAGGCTCGGCGGACCCCGCACTCGGAGCGGCCAGCAGGTCCCGCCGGCCGGGCACTGAGGGGCTTAGCACCTGGGCCAGCAGCTGCTGTGCTCAACTTCTCGCCGGGCTTTAGCTGTCTCCCCGCGAGGCAGGGCTCGGGCCCTGCAGCCCGCCATGCCTGAGCCTCCCCCACGCCGTGGGCTCCTGCACTGCCCCAGCCTCCCCGACGAGCGCCGCGCCCTGCTCTACGGCGCCCAGTCCCATCGACCACCCAAGGGCTGACAAGTGTGGGCACACAGGCGCGGGACTGGCAGGCAGCTCCACCTGCGGCCCAGATGCGAGATCCACTGGGTGAAGCCAGCTGGGCTCCTGAGTCTGGTGCGGACTTGGAGAACCTTTATGTCTAGTTAAGGGATTGTAAATACACCAATCGGCACTCTGTATCTAGCTCAAGGTTTGTAAACACACCAATCAGCACCCTGTGTCTAGCTCAGGGTTTGTGAATGCACCAATCAACACTCTGTGTCTAGCTAATCTAGTGGGGACATGGAGAACTTTTTGTGTCCACACTCTGTATCTAGCTAATCTAGTGGGGACGTGGAGAACCTTTGTGTCTAGCTCAGGGGTTGTAAAGGCACCAATCAGCACCCTGTCAAAAAGGACCTCAGCTCTGTAAAACAGACCAATCGGCTTTCCATAAAATGGACCAAACAGCAGGGATGTGGGTGGGGCCAGATAAGAGAATAAAAGCAGGCTGCTCCGGTGTCCTATCCACTCTGTGGAAGCTTTGTTCTTTTGGTGTTTGTAATCAGTCTTGGTGCTGCACACTCTTTGGGTCCATGCCGTCTTTATGAGCTGTAACACTCACCGTGAAGGTCTGCAGCTTCACTCCTGAAGCCGGTGACACCATGAACCCATCGGGAGGAACGAACAACTCCAGATGCACCGCCTTCTAGAGCTGTAACACACTCACTGCCAAGGTTTGTAGTTTCACTTCTAAAGCCAGTGAGACCACGAACCCACCAAAAGGAATAAACTCCAGACATGCTGTCTTTAAGAACTATGAATGCCACCATGAGGGTCTGTGGCTTCATTCTTTAAGTCTGTGAGACCAAGAACCCACCAATTCCAGACACTATATCCTAGGCCTAAAATCATCTTAAAAAAAAACCATCTTCAAATGGGTCATAGTAAAATGTTCATGGTGATCATCTCTCAAGAATAGGATTACTGACTTTGTGTACTTCCGTGTTTTCCAAATTTAATGCAATGAACAAGCACTAGTGCAGTAATTTGAAAATTCATCTAAGCAAGTTCTCTGAATTATCTCCATGGTCACTTCTCTTGTCACTGCAGATGAACTATCTGTGTGGCCATGGCCCATCACTTGTACTCACTGTTTGCTTAACTACAAAGAAGGGGGGACTGCAGATGACCACCGAGACACTCAGCAATGTGAATTCTCTATGAATGTTTTTATCTGTATTCCTTCTCAGCCTTGCTACTCCAAAGCACTCCCAGCCTCATTCTTGACTTTCTGATTTCTGCAAGTTCTTGCCAATATGAATTATGTTTCATGCTGCTGGCTTTCTAAGGATGGAATTTGTGACTCAAGGCCTAAGCTGCCACTGAGCTATTTGCTAAACTTAAGTTGCTGTTTTTGAACACCCGGACTCCTAAGAATCAATGAAAACCCAAGATGATCAACATTAGTCACAGAACCAAATAATCCTATGGACTGACGGAGGGTGGGTCGCTGGAGTTTTATGCTTTTCACATACTGGCATTCCAGTAAACATTCTTAAATACGTAAGCTGTGAGGTTATTCAGCAAACAGCCTATGGACAGTCACAGCATTTGTACCTGCTCCACAACCCACTGTATTTTCCCTAATGGTATGAATGCATTAATACATGAAGTGATTTATTTTAGGAGTTGAAGCTAAACTTTTTTTTTTACATTCATTAGCGCATTGAGACATTCACTCAGCCTACTTTCTATAGGCTATCATGAGCAGAGTTAGTGAGCTTGTTTGTGGAAACTATGTATGAAAAATAAGGAAAGTTTGGAGTTCAAATCTGAAATATTTTGAGATCAACATTGACGAGACATAGTGACATAATGCTTGCCAATAATATTTATTCTGGAACTATTACATTACGACAAACATGGGATCCCTTTGTATGGTTAGATTCAATAAGAGATCATTGTTACACTTTGATTCAGCATTTTCTTATATTCTGAATAGAAATAAAATTTCTGTGCCTGAACTTTGTTCTGACATGTGTTGAGCAGACATCAGTCTTCATATTCACCAGTAATATAAGCCCCAAACAAGTAATATAACTTTAAAATTTTTACCACATGGATAGATAGGGACATAGCTATAAATATGTAGATACAGATGTGTCTTATTTGATTCCACAAAAGATTTAAGATGATTTGCCAAAATATATACAATAAAAAAATGCATAAATTAGAATTTAGATCCTAGGAAAATGTAGAAGAGAAAAAGGAGCAGAGGAAAATTGGTCCATGGATAAGCACACCATCGAAGTGCATTCAGTTACTAAATGTGGGTTGGAAATGGCTTCCCTCCAACGCTTCCTGACTCAAGAGTTAAACTCCAAAACCTTCGCCTGACCTGCAAGGCCTCTACATGGCCTACGCCTGACGCCGTCCCCCCAGTCTTCCATCTCATCCCTCACATTCCTACATTCTCTAGTCCACTCCTCCTAGATATGCCAGGCGGGTCCTAAGGTCAGGAGTTTGAGACCAGCCTGACCAATATGGTGAAACCCCGTCTCTACTAAAAATACAAAAATTAGCTGGCCATGGTGGCGGGCGCCTATAGTCCCAGCTACTCAGGAGGCTGAGACAGGAGAATCGCTTGAACTCAGAGGGGTCAGACGTTGCAGTGAGCCAAGATCATGCCACTGCACTCCAGCATGGGTGACAGAGCCAGCCTGAAACTCTGCCCTGCGTCCTTCTGAGAAGTGACAGTGTACCGGCATGGCAGCCCTCACAGCCCTCGCTCGCTCTTGGCGCCTCCTCGGCCTTGGCACCCACTCTGGCCGCGCTTGAGGAGCCCTTCAGCCCGCCGCTGCACTGTGGAAGCCCATTCCTGGGCTGGCCAAGGCCGGAGCCGGCTCCCTCAGCTTGCGGGGAGGTGTGGAGGGAGAGGCACGGGCGGGAACCGGGGCTGCTCGCGGCGCTTATGGACCGGCGCGAGTTCCGGGTGGGCGTGGACTCGGCGGGCCCCGCACTCGGAGCGACCAGCCGGCCCCGACAGCCCCGCCGGCCCGGGGAAGTGAAGGGCTTAGCACCTGGGCCAGCAGCTGCTGTGCTCGACTTCTCGCTGGGCCTTAGCTGCCTCCCTGCGGAGCAGGGTTCGGGACCTGCAGCCCGCCATGCCTCAGCCTCCCCCACGCCGTGGGCTCCTGCGCCTCCCGAGCCTCCCCGAGGCTCAAAATAGTCAAAATGGACCAATCAGCTCTCTGTAAAACAGACCAGTCGGCTCTCTGTAAAATGGACCAATCAGCAGGATGTGGGTGGGGCCAGATAAGAGAATAAAGGCAGGCTGCCTGAGGCAAGCGCGGCACGCCGCCACGGTCCGTTTTCAGGCTGTGGTAGCTTTGTTTTTTTGCTTTTTGTAATAAATTTTGTTGTTGTTTGTTCTTTGGGTTCACGGTGCATTTGCGAGCTGTAACACTCACCACGAAGGTCCTCAGCTTTCCTCGCTGGTGAGACCATGAACCCCCCCAGAGGGAAAAAACACCCAACACATCAGAATGTCAAGGAACAAACTCCGGCCATGCCGCCTTTGAGGGCCTGTAACACTTAACCGCAAGCACCAGCCACGCCGCCTTTAAGAACTGTAATACTTGCTGTGAGGGTCTGAGGCTTTATGCTTGACGTCAGTGAGGCCAAAAACCCATCAATTCTGGACACACTCCCAAATGGCTTCCTCCCTCATCTAGAATTCACCATCTCCTTGGAGGGGCTCTTGGCCACCCACCTGAAAGAGGTCACTCCCCCCGCCCACCTGCCCGTCATTCTCTTTCCCAACGTGTTTTGTGTTTTTTCAGAGTGAACGTCGTGATAACGTGTATCATGACCTGTATCCTCACTAGCATGTAAATCTTGTGAGGAGGGCCTTTTTCTGTTCTGTAGACTGCTGTGTCCTGAGAGGAGCAAATGGTGAAGTTTGTGTTCTCTGGCTAGGGGCAGTGCAGGTATCCTGTCTTGTTGGTTGAGGGCGTATCCACGTGCTTTTTTGTTTGTTTTTGAGACGGAGTCTCGCTCTGTCTCCCGGGCTGGAGTGCTGTGGTGCGATCTCGGCTCACTGCAACCTCCGCCTCCCGGGTTCGAGGAATTCTCCTGTCTCAGCCTCGCCAGTAGCTGGGACTATAGGCGCTGGCCACCATGCCCAGCTAATTTTTGTATTGTTCAGGCTGGTCTCAAAGTGCTGACCTCAGGTGATCAGCCTGCCAAAGTGCTGGGATTACAGGTGTGAGCCACCGCATCCGGCCTCCACGTGCTTTTAAAAGTGGCAACTGAGCACTCGGATTGTAGAATGGACATCCTTTCACGTAAAAATTCTTGTCTGAGTCTGATAATCCTCACAACAACATCTGAGGAACATCTTATGTCTGTCTGGTCATGGGATGAAGAGAATCTTCAACTGAAATTTCCAGTAGACGGGGAGCTGTTCTAATGCATGAACAGCAGGACATCAAGACTCCAACATCGTCTTCCGTAAGGTTGCTCCACGGTGATCTGGGCTGAGAAAATTTCAAGGTAACATTTGCTAATTGTTGGCTATATGCCTATACATATAGACAGTTCACCAACGTAGATTTCTAATGATCCTGCCAGGTAAACTTTGTTCTCAAATAAAACGCCTCCAAGTAACTGATTTTAGAAGTGCATTTACCAACATGGTAATTTCAGTATTAGAATAGCCTCTCAAGTCCTGCTTTCTGACAACAGAGTGAAGCCAAGTGTCAGTGAAGTCACTCCTAGTACATAAAAATGAAACTATATAATAAGCATAGAGAATAAGTCTTAGACCACTGGGAAAACTTAAATATAAACAGGATACAAATGATATTTCAGAAGTTGTGTTTATTTTCTTAAGTACAATAATGGTATTTTGTAATGGAAGTGTTCTTGTTTTTAGGCTTTGTTTGCTGAAGTTCTCAGTAATGAAGTGTGATGTTAAAACTGTCTTTCAACTGGCTTCACAATAAATAAATAAATAATTAAGTGGGTAAATCTAGGAAGCATATATAGCAAAACGTGAATAATTGTATCTAAGAGAAAGGATTTAGGCCTTTATTATACTATTCTGTCAACTTTTCTGAATATTTGAAAATTTTCCCAAGTAAAAGTTGGAGAGGGATAATATTTATATTTCTACTCCTTTTAATAAAGATAATCTAAACATGGTTTTAAGAACCTGTTGTCTGCCTTGAGAAACCATTTATTTCTGCTGACATTCTCACAGTGATATTAAGGCTCAGATACTATTTAAACATTTGTGGCTATGATTTTTTTATCAAGCACATTAAAATTAGTCCCAAACTAGTTATTATTCACTGAGTCGAAGGTCAAGGAAAAGAACCAAAATTAATCAACACTGTGTCTTGTATGTAATACAAGTTCATAGAGCCATGAACTTGTAATATAGCTTCATGGAAGTATCCACAGGGTGTTGACGAGTGTGGCAGCAGCTGTTTCTAAAGCCTCCTTATTCCTGAGACGCCCTGGCTTGTTGCATGCCCCTCACCAAAACACACAACAGCCCCTCAGCAAATTAAGTCCAGAATATTGCATTTTACACCCAAATGCCCCAAGATAGATATTCAAGTAAACTTAATAGAATCACTTAACATTCTAGCTGAAAAGGACTTGAGTGATCATTTAACTATAGTGAATGTTGGTTGTAAAATCATTAATGCCCTGCAGGGCAGAGATGTTGTCCTGACTGTATTTGCATGAGTAGTATCACATAACATAGAGACTTTCTAGACTGGTACCCAGTCATGATTTTATTCCGTGAGTGTGTGAAAAAGGGATTGAGGTCCTTCAGCCTCATTCAAGGAGTTGTGGAGGGAGTTTTGGGTTGATGTCTACCTCATTTGATATCTGCTCATATCTATGTGTCCAGCATCTTGTTCATTTTTTGCAGCCTCAATCTGATCACACATTCAGCCACTTAGGACTAGGTGAGCAAGAGCTGTTGGTTCAGAAAACCAAGGCTGAATTCCATTGTCCCTTACCTGATGGAGCGGAGAGGCTCCTGGAAAGATATGGTTTGACTAAATTTCTATACATTTATTTGAATGGACATGAATTTGTAGCAGGTGGTATATTTCACCACTTAGCCTTACCCACATAAGGGGGCTTGGATTTGTCCCCAACAGCATTTCTGAATAGCAAGGACCCATGCTGTTTTGGAGGGAATTGTATGCTGTTTTGGAGGGAATTGTATGGTTTGAGCCATTCAAGGCAAGTAACATGAGGCCATTGTGAGGGGGCTCATCGAGGTGTTTGGGCAGAGATGGGCATACCATCCATAGGCAGTGGGCAGGTGGGTGCCCTTGGAGGGCCTGGCCCAATGAGGACAGGACAAGCAGCTTCTCACTGCCTGCAATGCATGATCCACAGACATGGTTTGGCTTCCATGAGGTGGTGGTTGGTGTATGCTGGCTGCCAGTCGGCCCTCTCCATTCCCAAGTCCCTCCCCACCCACCTCCAAAGCCACCCCTGCCACCATGTTCCCTTCCACACCCTCCCAGTGACTTTAGGCTCTTCCTTTCCTCTCTTTCCAGGGTAAACTTCTTGTTTCCTCCCTCCTGTGGCCTTTCTATTAGAATCTCAAGAGCATTATTGGGGGATGGGAAACCCTGGCTTACTTCTCCTTTTATCACTGACACAATTTTAATTCTTCTTGAAGGTTAGTCTAAGGAAGTGGGGGAAAATTTACATCGAGATGATGTTTGAAGATACCTTACTACAAGCCAAGAGAACATTAGAGTCCCACGTCACCCTTCTGTCTGAAACAAATAATCACGTCCTGATTCCCTTCTGGCTTTTGTGTGTATTTATATGTTCACCCAGGTTTGCTCAATGCAGGTATGGGCATTTCAGTGAAAGCCTCTATTTTACCCTTCTCTCCTTCTCTCTAGTTGGCCAGAATATTTGCTTCCAAGTGCAGCCCAAATTACTTACCTTAATTGTCTGCACCTCCCAAGTATTTCAGCTAATTGTCGAATTGTTGCTACTCATTGTCTTGTGACTGTGTATACCTCACCCACGGGGCTTAAATTCTGCCCAAGCAAAAAGGGCTTGGTGAACTGAAACCAGAAAAAAAGTTCAAGGCAATGGAACAAATGCCAATGTCTTGGTTCAAGGAGCGACTTTTACAGAATTACGTGCATTCGTACCAGTTGTTATGATGAATTGTTCTGACACTCATCCAGACAGAAAAATAATTGAAGTTCCTTTCCCAGGGGTTCTCTAACTCAAACACTCAAAACGACCTGACCTCAGCCCAGAGCAGAAGTCACAAGGCCAAGATTCAAAAAATAAGTAAATACATTTATAAGGAGATATAAACTGCTTTCCGAAAACATCCAATTTGGGTCAATGATTGATGAAGAACTAAGAATAACTGGAACATTTGCTTTTCCTTATTTTTAAAATAATTAAAGTTACTTATAATGCTTATATAGACCTCTGAGCAAGGAGTGTGTGTGTGTGTGTGTGTGTATGTGTATGTGTAAGTTTATGCTTGAAGATCTTTGTTGCTACTCCTACCCCCATCCCCCTGTATATATTCTAGAAACCAGTGCTAGTTCTGATGACCAACTTTGGGCTAAACCACAGCTATACTTTGGAAGCTATGCAATCGCAGACTACTCTGCAGATTTTGCTTTTTGTTAATAACCTATTTTAAAGTTCAGCAGACTGGCATCTCTTTTGATGCTGATTATACTCCTTCTAAAACTCCACTCCAAGTTCAGCGTCAGCAAATCCCAGTCTGACAGAAAGTAAGATTGTTTTCTCAGTTTGCCAGTACACTGCATTTCAGAGACAGGCTCAACCCCAAAGTCGCTGCTGTGGCAGAGCTCATGCCGCGCCTTTTGGACCACAGTGACAGATGGTTTTGCTTAAAGACAATCCCTCTGAGATAGCTCGTCTGCCCAGGCGGCTGTGTGGGCATGCTTCGGGCATGTAGCCAGCGCTCACATGCTATCCACATATTTCACATCCATAACCACACCCGCATATAGTTTAAACACTGTCTGGTCTTCAGAGGCCTTTATGTAACTTTATATTCAATGAAAATAGCTCTTGGTGATTAATTTTGCTGCTTTTGGCCCCTTTCAGGGAAACAAGTTTGACACTTAGTCTGTATTTTTCAAAGCGAGAGAAAATGGAATTGAAAAGAGTGTTTTCTAATGAATTAATTCCAGTGATGTTGAGTCCAACATGAGAAGAAATGTAATTCCTCCTGGAATGCAACTGCACACCTACTGCTCAATGATGTATAATAACTATTTTATTCCAAAAAGGATTTGAAGTGGCTTCCAAAAAATGAGTGACATTAATAGCTAAGGATATTGGGGAGAAACTGGGCATAGCCGATGGATTTCACTTGCCTGTGGCCGTGGCTGTTCATTTTCGTTCATGAGGTGTAAGAAATGAGGAAGGGTGGCTGACCAGGGGACAACGACACCACATCTGGGAATACCCTCCTTCAAATCAGAGACTTACAGGAAAACGGACAGGCCGGCGCACATTATTCAGGCCATTCTCAAATGTTTAATAACTGTTTCATATCAATATCAAGTTAAGCACATTTTAGTAAGGTGGGTGAACATGTTTGCCCATATCCCAAATTATCCCAGACTCTCCACTGTACAGGAAGCGGACAGTGTCTTCCACCAACGCCTGCTTCACAAGGTTTATTCCTTAATAGCCAGACTTGGCCTCTTTTCTTAGCTCTGAGCTGTGAGGCACAGTCAGTGTTTTCAAACAAAAGGTATTTCCAGGAAATCTTCTGTCTGAGGAAGGACGAACACACAGTTCTCTTAGTTGGGGAGCGTGGGAAGGAGGGAAGCAAAGGTGTGGGGGACTTTGGTATTCTCTCTTCTTAACCCAGTACTTGGAGGGTATTCTCCCAGGCCGTTCAGTGGAACAACAAAATGGCTGGAAAACAACACTTTTAAAAAGTTTCTTCCTGGGCACGGTGGCTCATGCCTGTAATCCCAGCACTTTGGGAGGATGAGGCGGGTGGATCACGAGGTCAGGAGTTCGAGACCAGCCTGGCTAACGTGGTGAAACCCCCTCTCTACTAAAAATACAAAAATTAGCCAGACGTGGTGGTGCACACCTGTAATCCTAGCTACTCAGGAGGCTGAGGCAGGACAATTGCTTGAACCAGGGAGGCAGAGGTTGCAGTGAGCTGAGATTGCGCCACTGCATTCCAGCCTGGGAGACAGAGCAAGAGTCTGCCTCAGGAAAAAAAAAAAGTTTCTATGACAACATGTTATGAATGAGCACACTTCCTAAGGAAATGAAACTCCTAAATGCATCAGTAACTTTATTGGGGATCTGGAAGTTGTCTTTTTTTTTCAGTTTGCTAATTATAAATCCAGACGCAAAACCTATGACTTTACCCAATTAAGCAGTTTTTTCACATATTTTTTTCATTTTTTTAAAAATATATTGATCCAACTGTAATAAACATATATTCTGTAACTGTAATATGTTATTTCCCTGCAAATGTTCCTCTTTATCCACATTTTTCCATCCTTTCACCACTCATTCCTTCAACATATTTTTATTACCAGCTAGCAAATAGAGTAAGAACAGCATCAATATGAGCAGAGAATTCTTCTATACTCTGTTTCTTAACTAAAGATAAACAAAGGCCAGGCGCTGTGGCTCACACCTATAATCCCAGCACTTTGGGAAGCTGAGGCAGGCAAATCGCCTGAGGTCAGGAGCTCAAGACCAGCCTGGCCAACATGGTAAAACCCTGTCTCTACTAAAAATACAAAAATTAGCCAAATGTGGTGACAGACGCCTATAATCCCAGCTACTCGGGAGGCTGAGGCAGGAGAATTGCTTGAACCTGGGAGGCGGAGGTTGCAGTGAGCCAAGATCACGCCACTGCACTCCAGCCTGGGCGACAGAGCGAGACTCCATCTCAAAAAAAAAAAAAAAAAAAAAAAAAAAGATAAGCAAGTACTCTGTGCATTGGGAAGTAACTAAGTGGTCAGGGTTTCTATTATCTTTTTGAAATTTAGATTTGTTAGCCTAAGAGATCATGAATCATCAGGCTCTTGGCAACTGTGGGAAAGGAAAGATGATATTCTAGAAACTGATCATCTGGTAATCGCTGATAAGTTCACACATCAATATTTAATTCCACCACAGTTTTGTTTTCAAAGTAGAAGAAGTTTGTATAGGTTGGTGCAAAAGTAATTGCGGTTTTTGCCATTATTTTAGTGGTATATTGTCAGCAATCACCACTGCATCCCTGACTGAGATCAATGTGAGCTCTGCACAGTGTCTCTAACACTCACTAGGTGGCCATGGTTTCTATCCCTTCTAGAGAATGCTACCTGGAAAATAAGGTTTGGGGTCACACCCAGACATCAGACCATTTGTTACTTTCCCCATTTTCTCACCCTTTTTTTTTTAAATTTTTTAAATTATACTTTAAGTTTTAGGGTACATGTGCACAACGTGCAGGTTAGTTACATGTGTAGACATGTGCCATGTTGGTGTGCTGCACCCAGTAACTCGTCATTTAACATTAGGTATTTCTCCTAATGCTCTCCCTCCCCCATTCCCCCGCCCCAAAACAGGCCCCGGTGTGTGATGTTCCCCCTCCTGCATCCATGTGTTCTCATTGTTCAATTCCCACCTATGAGTGAGAACATGCGGTGTTTGGATTTTTGTCCTTGCGATAGTTTGCTGAGAATCTCACCCCCCCTTTTTTTTTTTTTTTGAGACAGTCTTGCTCTGTCGCCCAGGCTGGTGTGCAGTGGCGCCATCTCAGCTCACTGCAACCTCCACCTTCCAGGTTCAAGTGATTCTCATGCCTCAGCCTCCAAAGTAGCTGGGATCACAGTCATGCACCACCACGCCTGGCTAATTTTTGTATTTTTAACAGAGACAGCGTTTCACCATGTTGGCCAGGCTGGCCTCAAACTCCCAACCTCCAGTGATCCATCCGCCTCAGCCTCGGAAATTGCTGGGATTACAACCGTGAGCTACCGCGCCCAGCCTCACCCATTTAAAGGGAAACTTTCTTCATGGTAACGAGCTCACTTACAGATTGAGTTCATAATATTAAAAAACATTTTTTTAGAGATGACATCTCCCTGTGTTGCCCAGACTGGAGTGCAATGGCTATTTCCAGACATGTTGATGGTGCACTGTGGCCTCAAACAATCCTCCCTCCTCAGCCTCCTGAGTAACTGGGACGACAGACTCGCACCACCAAGCCCAGGTGAGTTCACGATTTGAAAGGCACTGGTTTTAGACCTTTCTAGTAAATTTTAAATGGCACATTGGATTTCTCATAGCAGATGACTCATGTTCTTCTTATGAAATTCGCTTACACAATTCTCATGCTGGATTTTAGTCAGAATATAGACTAGAGAGAAAAAATCATCAAGGAGACAGAACCCATGGATATGTAACTTTATGAACAGGAATGTCCCAAACTCCCGATTTCATTCTTCTGACACAAAGAATTACCACCATGCGGCATACTTCTGCTGTAGGAATTGCTGCTGGAATATACTAATCATTTTAAGCAGTGAAGAGCATTGCGTCTGAAAGGCAAGTAGAGATACGGAAACACAATCAAGTCTAACAATAGATTGAGAAGAACCATGCCTAACGACAAGGGATAAAGATGAAAACCACCGTTTCATTCTTTCTCCTCCTTTTGACTTTATTGCTGCAGCTCAGTTTGCATCTTGAGCACCCTCGTTGCCCAGCAGCCCGGCGGGGTTCATTTGCATGTGTCTTCCCAGGTCTTCCCTTCAACCTCTGCAAAGCCAGCCAGGCGGAGAGGGGGCAGAGGCGTCCTTGGAGGGGAGCAATTCAGAAACAGCCACATCTTTTCTTTAAGGAAAAGGGAGGTCTCAAGATTACTTTCTATTTTTCATCACTTCTCTAATATATGCACACTGTATTTGCATAACATCTATTTGCACTGGGAGCCCATCCCTGGCTTCCTGAAAGATACAGGAGGGCATTTGAATATATATTTTATTCCCTGTGATGTCTCAGAGTTGAGCCTCTAATCTCATTACCAGCTTGCATGCTTCCAGTGAGTTATTCTATGGTCTTTAGAATTGTGCCTCCAATTTGTAAGCCTAGCTAACAATTACATTTTCATCGTGGAAAGATGTTAAAGATTGCTTTCAGTGAGAATTAAATCAAAGATCTCAGCATGTGCAGCTCCCAACCCCCAACCTCACTTCTTTGCGCACTTAATAGAGGTTGGCAACATAAAACTCCCTTTCTCTAGAACATCATCTTCACACAGAAAATCCTGCAGAAACTATGTTAAAAACACAGCATTGTCTAGTCTTATTCACTAAATGCTCCAACTTGACCACCTCAAAAAAAATAATAATTTCCAGGCTTGGAGAGACTGTTTAATTATTGAAGGACCAGCCTAGTGAAATGACATGGGATCCCAGACTGGTGGGATTTATGAAGAAATTGTCCATCCCTAAAAGAACAGGAAAACATACAGGTAGGTAGTTTCACAAAATATGATGTCAGTAAGACAGGTCAAAGACAGCCAAAATCACTCTTCAGAACCATTCTCAGCCTCTCTTTGGGTTCCCAGTTTATGTTTAGCTGCTTTGGGTTTAAATACCTTACCTAGATGATTTTACTTAATCCTTATGGCAATCTGAGGACATGGATTTTTTTAAATCCCCATTATACAGACAAGGAACCTGAGGTCAGTAGCTTTCCAAGGTCACATAATAAGAGACACATCTGAGAGAAGTAATTGGGTCTACTGCATTGCATCTTTAAGCCTCGCCTAAACCTTCATCCCTTTTGGCTTTCTTGTCTTTACCCCAGCTTTCTAGGATCTTCCAGGGCAGGACTACGTTCAGATCTGGCCTCCTTCTACCTAGCCAGTTCCTTCCCCTGCCAGCAAACATGCTATTCCGGCTTCTTTCTGCCCCTAGTGAGAGGTGACGGCGTGTTGGCAGCCCCCGCAGCCTTCTCTCGCTCTCGGTGCCTCCTCGGCCTCGGCGCCCATTCTGGCCGCGCTTGAGAAGTCCTTCAGCCCGCCGCTGCACCGTGGGAGCCCTTCTCTAGGCTGGCCGAGGCCAGAGCCGGCTCCCTCGGCTTGCGGGGAAGTGTGGAGGGAGAGGCACGGGCGGGAACTGGGACTGCGCGCGGCGCTTGCGGGCCAGCTAGAGTTCCGGGTGGGCGTGGGCTTTGCGGGCCCGCACTCGGAGCGGCTGGCTGGCCCGCAAGCCCCGGGCAGTGAGGGGCTTAGCACCTGGGCCAGCAGCTGCTGTGCTCGACTACTCGCCGGGCCTTAGCGCCCTCCCCGCGGGGCAGGGCTCAGGACCTGCAGCCCGCCATGCCTGAGTCCCCGCCCCGCCGCGGGCTCCCGCGTGGCCTGAACCTCCCCGACGAGCACCGCACCCTGCTCCACGGTGCCCGGTCCCACCGACCGCCCAAGGGCTGAGGGAGTGTGGGCGCACGGCGCGGGACTGGAGGGCAGCTCCACCTGCGCCCCGGTGCGAGATCCACTGGGTGAGGCCAGCTGGGCTCCTGAGTCTAGTAGGGACTTGGAGAACCTTTGTGTCTAGCTAAGGGATTGTGAGTGCACCAATCAGCACTCTGTGTCTAGCTCAAGGTTTGTGAACACACCAATCAGCACCCTGTGTCTAGCTCAGGGTTTGTGGATGCACGAGTCGGCACTCTGTATCTAGCTAATCTGGTGGGGACTTGGAGAATCTTTATGTCTAGCTAGGGATTGTGAATACACCAATCAGCACTCTGTGTCTAGCTCAAGGTTTGTGAATGCACCAATCAGCACTCTGTGTCTAGCTCAGGGTTTGTGAATGCACCAATTGACACTGTATCTAGCTAATCTAGTGGGGAGGTGGCGAACTTTTGTGTCTAGCTCAGGGATTGTAAAGGCACCAATCAGCACCCTGTCAAGACGGACCAATCAGCTCTCTGTAAAACAGACCAATCGGCTCTCAGTAAAATGGGCCAATCAGCAGGATGTGGGTGGGGCCAGATAAGAGAATAAAAGCAGGCTGCCGGAGCTGCTAGTTGTGAGTCTCCTTGGTGTTATGTATGCAGTGTGGTGGCTTTGTTATTTTGCTGTTTGTAATAAGTTCTTGCTGCTTACTTTCTGTGGCTATACTGCTTTTATGAGGTATGATACCCACCATGAAAATCTGTAGCTTTATATTTGATGCCAGGGAGCTTACTAAACCCACCAGGAAGAACAACTGCAGACATGTTCCCTTTAAGAGCTGTGGTACTCATGCGTAAATGTGTGCAGCTTTGCTCCTGAGTCAGGGAGACCACGAACCCACCAGAAGGAAAAAACTGTCCAACACATCTGAATGTTAGAAGGAACAAACTCCAGATACACTGCGTTTTAAGAACTATCACCGTTAGGATCCGTGGCTTCATTCCTGAAGCTAGTGAGACCAAGAACCCACAAATTACATACACACTAGATCTGCGTTGTAACAAGATAGGTGTTTGCTACACCAGGTTCATCAGCATAATTTTGGGTGCTTATTAAAAATATGGGGGTCTGGCGGGGCGCTGTGGCTCATTCCTGTAATCCCAGCATGGTGGGAGGCCAAGGTGGGTGGATCACTGGAGGTCAGGAGGTTCAAAACCAGTCTAGCCAATAGGGTTAAACCTGCTTTCTGCTAAAAATACAAAAATTAGCTGGATGCAGTGGTACATTCCTGTAGTCCCAGCTATTGGGGAGGCGGAGGCAGGATATATTGCTTGAACCGGAGAGGCGGAGGTTGCGGTGAGCCGGGATGGCATCATTACACTCCAGCCTTGGTGAAGAAGCGAGACTCTGTCTCAAAAACGAGAGGAGCCTGGCATTTCTCTTGCATACTGTTTTGTGGGTTTGGGTGGGAACCTGAAGTCTCTGTTCAACAAGATACTGTGTGTTTCTGATGATCGAGTTAAAGAAAAGATGCTGTTTCTCGAAAGTGGCCTGTGAACCTCTTTCACGCAAAGTATGATATGAAAACTCTCCTTTAAGATAAAGTATTTTTACGTGCCATTGAGCACACCTTATCTTAATGTTAGTATCTTTAGATCAGTGTATTAAAGGATGTCTTCCAAAGTGTTTTGAATGTCATATTAATGATCATAATTTGATGCATTCTCACTTAATGAGTGGCTTGTGCTATTTAACATAGTTTAATTTTTACATGAGTGTGAGTCTGAATAACAGGAAGTTTCTCCAAAGACAATGAGTTTATTTAGGAATGGGCATTACAGTGCTGAATATGTGTGCCGTGATAAACTATGGGCATATTCAGAGAGGCGCGGGAAAACAAGTGCTTTTAAAAGCAAAATGAGGGTTACATAAGTTGTACTGAAACAATTATCCTTGGCTACATGGTTCAGTAACAAGGGTGGCATCAGTCCAAGGCAGTTGCTGGGCAGATTTCCTCACAGAAGTTATTTTTTGTGTAAGGTTGCAGTGGCCTGATTTGAGCAGTTTTTTTGTGTATGTGTGATACTTTTTGTTATCAGACAATTGTGCATGAAAACCCTTCCTTCATGGTTTTTCCCACCGCCATGTTGTCAGGGTTTGACACAAGTGACTCCATTTTGATTCTGACAAATTTGACATTATTTTTTCTTTTTCTTTTTTTTTTTTTGAGGCAGAGTTTTGCTTTGTCTACCAGGCTGGAGTGCAGTGGTGTGATCACAGCTCACTGCAACCTCTGCCGCCTGGGTTCAAGAAATTCTCCTGCCTCAGGCTACCGAGTAGCAGGGATTACAGGCATGCGCCACCATGCCCGGCTAATTTTGTATTTTCAGTAGAGACAGGGTTTCACCGTGTTGGCCAGGCTGGTCTTGAACTCCTGACCTCAAGTGATCCGCCCGCCTTGGCCTCCCAAAGTGCTGGGATTACAGGTGTGAGCCACCGTGGCTGGCCTTTTTTTTTTTTTTTTTTTTTTTTAGAGACGATGTGGCTCTGTCACCCAGGCTGGAGTGTAGTGGTGCGAGCATAGCTCACTGCAGCCTCAAACTCCTGGGCTCAAGGTATCCTCCTGCCTCAGCCTCTTGAGTAGCTACAACCCCATATGGCTAATTTTTGTTTTTAATTTTTTGTTGTCTCGCTATGTTGCCCAGACTGGCCTCCAACTCCTAGGGTCAAGTGATGCTTCCACCTTGGCCTCCCAAAGTGCTGGGATTACAGGCCTGAGCCACCATGCCCCACTTTCACATGAGAAAGCACAATTTATCGACAAACCATTCTTAAAATGACCTGTTATATTGTGTTTGATTTGAGCAAACAACAAATGGTAAAATGCAGCTTGAAGTGAATCATCCTTAGGGCATCAGGAATGGATCATGAACTCAGTTCTCTAAAATTTTTATATTTTCTCCGAAAATGGTAAGAGAGATGTCTCTTTTGTTGAGTTTTATTAGTAACAGAAAAAGCAATTGGATAGAAGAATCACTATATTTTCTCTTTTAGACAAGATTTTGAGATACCAGAGACTGATGTCCTTTAAGAGTTTCAATTCAATGAATGTAATTGGTAAAATATTTGAGGAATACTTAATATAATCAGAAAAATAACATAATCATTTTCTTCATAAATGTCAGTATTTCAAGTGCGTTATTTATTTAGCTAATATCCATTCTGGGTATAAATTAATCCATATAAAACTAAGACTAAGAATAATGTCTGGAGGCTGAGCCAGGATGATCACTTGAGGCCAGGAGTTCAAGACCAGATGAGACCCTGTGTCTTAAAAAAATATAAAAAATAAAAAATAAAATAAAATTCTGTGGCTGTCAGAAGTACTTTCCCCTGGCTGTACTTAGCAAACTGAATGGCAAAAATCTGAGCCTTCCTCTGCTGAGGGCCACAGGGCCTCACTCGTGAGTACTTAGAGGTAGCAAGCTCTAAGGGGACAATCTTGAAATAATTATTCCATATATTTATTATTTTAAAATGAAAATGAAAGCAGGTACCACTGGCAGCTCAGTAATAGGAACTCTCTTGAAACAATCTCGTGAATGCGGGTGGAGAAACATGAAGAGGACCCACTGCTCTGTGGCTCCTGGCGTGTCAGTGAGGGGGTCTCAATCCTGACCACCCCTTAGAATCATCTGGAGAGCTTTTAAAGAACTGATGCCCAGGTCCTACCCCAGACCATGGAACTCGAATCTTTGGTGGAAGCTTCGAGCATCCGGCTTGAGCTTTGCAGGTGATTCTAAGGTGTAGCTAGGGCTGAGACCCACAGCCACAACCAGAGGGAGGATTTCAGATGTGATGACAAGTTTAGCAGGGGAAGATATTTTGGGGACAATCAGGCCTTTCTAAGACTGTAAATCCCATCACAAGATTCCAGCCATCTCCCCTAGGCCTGCCCCTGCTTCAATGTCTCCAAGAAGTCCACACAGCTGCGGATTGGCTTAAGGAGCACCCACATGCCCAAAAAGCATTCTGCCTGAAGGGTTTTGGAAGCTTACCACAAGTTAGTTTTAGGAGCTATTTGCAAATGCAGGTTTATGGAGGTCCACACCCAAATTACTAAGGACCACAACCCCTCACCACTCCCCATTCCATTCCCCAGGACAGGAGAGCTCTCAGATCCTGGTTCCGTATAGATTATAGGGGTTTCAAGCCCAGCTCACACCCTGTGCTGACCAGCCAGTACACGCAGATGAAGCCGTGACCCCTGCCCTGGAAGAATCTTCCTTCAGTCACAGATAGATAAATCAGGGATTACAGCTGCTGTGATGAGTTATAACCAAGATGGCGACTGAGCTAGTATATCTACTACATCAGTGTCTATGGGAACCTCACGGCTTCCTCCACTCCATAGTTATAAGGACAGACAGCCCGCCTTTGAACAATTTCCCCTTCTCTCCCTACACAGATGTGTTATACTTCATATGTGTGTGCATATGTGTATGTGTGTGTTTGTGTGTGTGTATACGTATGTGCATGTATATCTGTGTATATGTATATATGTATGTGTGTATATGCATATATGTATATATATGTATGTGTGTATATATGTGTATGCGTGTGTATGTGCGTGTATATGTTTTGTTGTTGCCTACAGAACAGATAAACACAACCACAAAATATTCCACTGAAAACGTCTTTTGACTGCAAGTGATAGTTTATTTCAAATAGTCCCTAAATGTGTCATCTTTGGAGAGGGTTGGGCTGTGGCGGGCTTTGTACATCAGGCTGGGATGGCTTAGAGGTGTTATTCTGAACATCATGAGGGGCCAACAGGAGCATGTGTGTGTGTGTGTGTATGTATGTGTTGTGTGTGTATTGGGTATGTGTTGTGTGTGAGTTGTGTGATGTGTGTGTTGGGTGTGTGTGTTGGATGTGTTGGGTGTGTTGTGTGTGAGTTGTGTGTGTGTTGGGTGTGTGTGTCGTGGCTGTTTGTTGGGTGTGTATTGTGTGATGTATTGATTGGGTTTGTGTGTGTTGGCTATGTTGTGTGCATGTGTTGTGTGTTGGAATATGTGTTGTTGGGTATAGAGTGTGTTTGTTGGGTGTACTGTGTGTGAGTTGTGTGTTGCGTGTGTGTGTTGTGGGTGTGTGCTGTGTGTGTTGGCTGTGTTGTGTGTTGTGTGTGTGTTGTGTTGGTATGTGTCTTGCTGGGTATGGTGTGTGTTGTGTGAATTGTGTGTGTGTGTTCGGTGTGTATGTTGTGTGTGTGTTGAATGTGTGTGTGCACACCCACCCTCTGTTGGGGTGGGTGGGGGTGGCAGGGTCAGACCTGTCCTGGTGGACACCTGGTGGTGGTGTGGAGGAGGCACCGCAGGGGGCAGTCTCTGGCTGGGGCAGGAGAGCGGGCAGAGGCTGTGTACCCAGGGCATGGCAGTGGAAACAGAGGAGAGGGGCCAGGATAGGGAACAGGAAGATGCAGGGACCTGGGAGAAGCCCACAGGCAGGGGCTGTGAGATTGACTCGCCACTATGCTGACACCTCTGACCCAAGTAGGGAGTGCAGGAGGGGATGCCGGAGACATAGGTGAGTTTGTTTTTTTGCCTCTGCTGAGTTTGAGGCACTGAATATTTTTGCTCAGGGGAACTTGAAACTCAAGACTTTATTTAATTGTCTATTTAAAATATCAAGAAAATACTAGTTAAAATTTCATCTAGGAGAAATGAGTGGAAGGAAGAAACGTTTCAGAGGGACAGGAAGGGGTGACAGCATGGAGTGGCCTCCCCAACTGTGGGTCCCTGGAGGAGAGATAGGTTTCTCTGTGATGGTGCAAATCCCCGGGGAAGCTGAGCCAAACCTGAGAGAAATGCATTGTGCCCGGGCCTTTCCTTCCTGGAGACACGCTGCCGGGCACTGAGGCTGTGGGTGGCTGAGGCTTCTATTCATGCGCCTGTGGGGTGGTCGTTGTGAAGGACAGCGAGTGCTGGGGCCGTCCTCTAATGGAATTCTACATCTCGTCGTGTGCCGCTTTGTTCTACGCACAGAATTTCAGAGAGAGCCTTTTGTGTCAGCTCTTTTCTCCTCCAAATAAGTAGATCCGTATAAGTGGCAACTGCCAGCCACAGGAGAAATGGTTTCCGACTCCGCAGCACCCCTCCCACTACTGACAGCTAGTCAAGAAAAGCCACTTTTGTGTTGTTGTTTTCTTTTTCCCACCACTAACATGTAATTTTCATGCAGCAGCTCGAGGTCCCTTCCAGGAAAACAAAATGAAATGAAATCAGCAAGGATGTGTAACTACATGTATGACTAAATGCTGATAGACTTGACATGTGCAAAGCGTTTGTTCATCTCATCCAAGGCTGCCTACCTGTGATGGAAATGTAGATCTTTCTTTACTGCAAGAGCGGTGTTTGTTTAAGTTAACCCACTTCAGCCAACAGGAAGAAAATTCCAACTCATAACTGAACTCATCTACTTTTGAAGCCACATTCACATCAATTTATTAATACTATTTTTACACAATTTCAGAACATGTGCCTCTCATAAAGTGTGTGTGTGTGTGTGCGTGTATAGAGTTTTATTCTTTATTCAGCCAAGAATAATTTATCTTTTTTTTTTTTTGATGGAGTTTTGCTCTTGTTGCCCAGGCTGGAGTGCTGTGGCACAATCTTGGCTCACTGCATCCTCCACCTCCTGGGTTCGAGCGATTCTCCTGCCTCAGCCTCCCGAATAGCTGGGATTACAGGTGTGCACCATCATGCCTGGCTAATTTTTGTATTTTTAGTAGATACAGGGTTTCACCATATTGGTCAGGCTGGTCTCAAACTCTTGACCTCAGGTGATCCACCCGCCTCAGCCTCCCAAAGTGCTGAGATTACAGGTGTGAACCACCGCGCCCAGCCTACTTGATCTCTTTTACTTTCCACAGCTGGGGACGACAGCAGCGGTCCTGTCCTGCCAAACCTGCTGAGATTTGCACAACCAATATAAGGCCCCAAAATGCATCTGCCCAGGACTGCAGACTATGATGTTATCCCTCTCTTCCTAGCAACAGGACACTGAACACTGGTCCCCACCAGCCCCTGATGGCCTCTGCCATTTAAAAATTAGCATGAAAGGCAATATTGCAGTATCTAACAAATTGCACTGATTCACATCCTGATTAATTCTATCAACTGTTTTGCTGTGCTCTGCTTCAAATCCTGCATGTCCAAACCAGCCTGAAATTACTCAGGGTGTCTGCATTTGAAGGTAAACAGCGATGATTTCCTTCTTAAAGCACTAAGTAGGAATCCTTTGTGCCCTGCTTGGAAAAAGATCTCAACTTTGGCATGACCTGGAAAAATGCTGCATGTGATGTGCCAGCCTCTCTGCAGGGCTGCTCGGTAGGGGCAACAGCTTGCCCTTTGGCTGGCAGCAGACTCCTTCCAATGCTCTGGGTCCAGACCACACTTGTTCTAACTGTCCTGGAGGAGAGGTGTTAGGTAGAAAGCTTTCTTTCCCTACTGTCAGGGACCCGGCGTGCTCCAGGAGGCTGCCGCCCACCATTTTTGCTTATTGCCAGAGCTGCCTCACTGTTGCTGTGGGGGTGCTGAGCATCTGATTCTCATCTGCCAGGGCGCCAGGGCTGATTTGGGGAGGAAAGGACCAAGAGGCACAGGTCGCTGTGCGCTGGCCCTGGGGATCTCCGCGGTAATGGCGCTGGCTACTTCTGTTTGTTCTTACCTGAAACTATCAACACAAATAGAACTTATGCCACAAAATATTTAACAACATGCCAGGCACATGCACAGAAGGACTGGACTGGCCATTTGCTGAGATGCTGGGGCAGGTACCCAAGCTCTCTGCTGTGACAAGGTCACCCTTTAAATGTGGGCTCATGGAGAGATCTAGGGGGCTGGGGAGAGGCCGGGTGGCCAGGGTACAGTACCAACCCGCGTGAACGCACCCCAATGTTTTCACTGTCTCCATGGCCTTACTGGGTGGGACATGGGAAATTTCAGCCCTGACTCTTACCAGGGCTGAAAAAAGAGGTTTGCTGAGCAACTGGAATGATCCAGGAGCTTGACAAAGAGAAGATGTAAAGTAAATTGAGCATGCTCTTACCTATGTACACAAGTAGGGTGGAGGGATACCCATGCCTTCCCTCCCTGACATGGCAGGGCTGGTGCTGAGTGCGGACCATATGCCCAGGGCCTCAGGTCAGGGACAGCACACAGCCCAGTTGCACTCAGCTGAAGTCAGAGGGAGGGTGAGCCAACCGGGAGAGGTTTCCTGGGGTACACCATTGGAAGGGGCCTTGAGTATCGGTAGGGCCAGCAGCGAGAAAAGCAAGGAAGAACATCTCAGAGGGGCGGATCTCATGGAGTGGAGATAGAACAGAGGGTACTGACCCGATGGCGTGTAGACTTGTCTACTCGGAGTGTGAGGTGCCTGAGGTCAGGTGCACCAGAAGTAGACCCTGAGACATATATTCACATGCAAGAGCTTTATCAAGGAATTAATCCTGGGGAGACCTACCTGTGAGAGAGTGGGGAGCAGGCCGGGGAAGGAGGAAGCCTCTCAAGGCTGCAGCCTTGGGTGGAAGTCCTGTGAAGGTGACATCAGCCCCACCCTGCAGGAGTCGTGGACCACAAAGTGTGCAGAGTCCCAGTTTCTTATACCAGCACTGGACTGGCAGTCAGTGTTAAAAGCCTCTGGGTGGGGAGTCTAAAAGAGGCAGGTGGGAGGAAGCAGAACCCCTGGCAACCCAGTGACCTGCTGATGAGAAAAGCAAGGGAGAGAGAAAGGGAGAGTGAGTAGAAGCAACCTGTATGCAGCTTTCCTGCCAGGGTGGTGGGAAGCCAGGGGCGCCATTCTCTGACAGAGACCACAGGAATGAGCAGAGACTGGGGAGAAAAAATGATGATGCCGGTGTGGCATATGGGGATGTTGAAGTCTCTGGGGACACTGGGGTGAAGGCCGACACAGTTTGCTGGATGCAGGTCTGTGACTTAGGAGAGGCCTCAGGCCCCAAGGCAGCACAATCGAGCCACAGCAATGAAGAGGCCCCTTGGATAGGATTTCTGTGGATTCTCCAACCTCCCGGACACGCAGGGGCTCAGTGATTGGAGACAGACAGCATCTCCAGGGAAGGGATGAAGCAGGTGTCACTCTCACACATTTGGAGGGACCGATCATGAGGAAGTCATTAAATGATACACTATTAACAGCTGGTATTTACCAAGCCCTTCCAATGTGCCCTGTGCCCTGCACCGGTGCCAAGAAAGTCCTGTGTGCATGATCCAATTGTACCCCTCAGGGGTGGGCATACTACTATTACTCAAACTCTACAGGTGAAGGAAAGTGAGGTATTGTCATCAAGGCCATATAGCAAATAAATGGATGAAACTTACTCTTTAATTTCCCAGTTTTATCAATGATCCCAGATATCATTCCTTTAGGGAAGCATCCCCACAGTGGCAATACCACACAAGTGTTTCTCTAGCTGTTTAGCTGCACCTCCTGCTCTTTAAACCTAGTAAACATTTGCCTGCCTGCAAATGGTTCCTATCTCCAGTTTGTCCCAAGAGCTGGGCTATTCAGTCTCCCTACAGCAAATCTCCCTACACAATTATTTAAAAACCGTTCATTTGGGGACATTTACTCCTCCCTTTTCACCACATGAGGCAATCTGGTTCATGGTATCTTGGAAACACTAGAAACGAGCATTTTTACCCATCGAAATGGCTCCCAAGGGCAGCTTGCGTCAGCACAAATGTATACTGAGAGGCCTCCAACGTGGGTCTTTGCCGTAAATCATTTTCTGAGCTGTGTGTGAGAAGAGCTTCCTCATCCCTCCAAAGGACAGTGGCCTGACACTACCATTAGCTTTTTATAGACAAAACTATATAGAAGGAAGATGTAGAAGAAAAATGGAGTAATTTCTGTATAGCACAACGGATGTGATCAAATAAGGCTGCGGTGGCCTGTTAGAGAAATGTACGTGCTGTGAAGGTTGCATGGATGCTGAATGCACTTCGTCCCGACCAAACAAGGCACAACGAATCTCAACATTCTACCAAAGGACATGGCGACGTGGCGTGATGGTAGGGTGTGGTAGAGTGACCACATGTCTGGTTTGCCCAGAGCTGCCCAGGGTATGCCTGCCAGCCCTCCCTGGACAATACAATGTAGGATCGCCTCTCTTTTTGTTCTGATGCGGTTTCCCATGCCAAACAATTTCAGAGGACGGACACTAACTTCCTGTCCAAAGTCTCCAAGTCACTCTCTTCCCCAGACTTGGGGAATAATAAGCCAGATAAGTCTCCCAAGGTATGAACGTCTGAGCCCTCGCTTTGGGCTGATTATGATGCTGTGGCCAGACGTTTTAAATATTCACACTGTGAATATTTAACCCCAAAATCTGCACCCAAAAATCTGTGAAAGAACAAAGCTGACTCCCCAAAATAAACACAAGTCGAATCTGTGGATGGGACCTGATGGTTAAGCGAGCTTAGTTAGAGGCTTAGTCATCTGATTTCAGGGCCCACAGGTGTGTCTGGGCCGACGAAGACCTGAGAGGTCAGACCGTCTGCCAGTGTGGAAGGAGCTGGGGCAACGAAGGGGGCTGCTGTGATCGCAAGGCGAATGGGGGGACCATGCGTTTCCTTTGCACCCTTGCACAGTAGTTTTTCGGGAGGGGGCTGCAGATTTTGGGTTGGAGAGAAGGAGCAGGGATTCCTGATTCCAACCTCTCTAGGCTGCCCAGGAGTTCACCCTCAGGCTTCCTGGGAGCAGGTTTGCACACCACTACCAAGGTGTGTTGCCGTCCTCAGTTCACGGTGCCACAGCCAGAGTCTGCACAAGTGGCATCCTGTTTCCTAATGCATCTTTAGCTCTCACGGATGCCTCGCCTTTGGTGGTCCCCCAAACAGATCCACGGCAGCATGTGCTGTGATGACTGCCCACCCCCACCCTCCTCCCAGGAAATTTCTAAAGAACTCCATCTGGCGTCCAGCAGCTTCGTGTTTGTTCTTTTTATAAATATGTTCTGTGATGAAATTCAGGGTTAAGCTTTCTGATCACATGATCTGTCCTGACTTCACAGTCATCCATTCTATCTGGATCAATGACATCTAAGTATTTCCATGGTCTCCAGGAGCTAAATCACAGCACCTGGCTTCTTGCTCTGCACGTGGCTGGGCCTGGCTCCCAGGACTCTCTGTCCTCCATGGACTGGTTGTGAAAGCCACACAAGAACCGGCTCAGGAGACCACGAGTGGGCAGGGGGCCCCTCCCTGGGGCTGGGTGCAGGCCAGCACCCTGGCAAGGTAGAAACAAATGGGCATCTCGACAGCCAAGCCAGGGCTGCTGAGTGTTTTATCCATCTTTCTGAGAGGCAGTGTTTTCATCATTGAGTCACCACTGGGTATGTTCAGGTGACCATCTCTATTTAGTCTCACTTCTGACCACATATGACAATCCTGGAAGCTTTCCAGAATCCCCGTGCCTGGACTCTACCCAGTACCAAATCAGAATCTCAGGGCATCAGTATGTTTTTAAACCTCCCCAGGAGATACCAAGGAGCGGCTGGGCTTGAGCATCTGCTCTCCGCCGGGACTTCTCACACTGTAATGTGCACACCAATCACCAGGGATCTTCTTCAAACGCACATCTTGACTCAGTAGGTCTGGGGAGGGGCGTGATTTCCGCGTTTCTGACTCGCTCTCAGGAGAGGCTGGTGCTGCTGATCCAGGTGCCACCCTTGGAGGGCAAGGGCACAAGTGTATCACAGTGTGGCAAACCATGGAAGGTTGGCCAGTTTTTAAAATTTCAATAGCCTTTGGGGTGCAACTGGTTTTCGGTTAGGTGGATGAATTGTCGGGCCAGTCTTTGTAAAAAGAGTTTTTGTTTTTGTTTGTTTTGTTTTTTTGTTTTGAACCTCCCGGGTTCAAGCGATTCTCCTGCCTCAGCCTCCGGAATAGCTGGGATTACAGGCATGTGCCACCATGCCTGGATAATTTTAAAGATATTTTTAGTAGAGATGGGGTTTCACCATGTTGGTCAGGCTGGTCTCGAACTCCTGACCTCAGGTGATCCGCCTGCCTCTGCCTCACAAAGTGCTGGGATTACAGGCATAAGCCACTGTGCCCGGCTGTAAAAAGAGTTTATTGGCTGGACACAGTGGCTCATGCCTGTAATCCCAGCACTTTGGGAGGCCAAGGCAGGCAGATCACAAGGTTCAGGAGATCAAGGCCATCCTGGCAAACACGGTGAAACTCCATTTCTACTAAAAATACAAAAATTTGGCCGGGCATGGTGGCACATGCCTGTAATCCCAGCTACTCGGGGGTCTGAGGCAGGAGAATTGCTTGAACCTGGAAGGCGGAGGTTGTAGTGAGCCGAGATCACACCACTGCACTCCAGCCTGGGTGACAGAGCAAGACTCTGCCTCAAAAAAAAAAAAAAAAAAAAGAGAGTTTTATTGAGACACAGCCATACCACACTCACACTATGAGGCAGGGATGCAACAGAGACTGTATGGCCTGAAAGCCTAAAATATTCACTCTCTGGCACTTTACAGAAAAAGTTTGCTGATTTAGAACTTGTTAGTATAGGTGCATCTGTCACAAGCTCAGCGGCCGGCATGGGCAGCCCAGGTAGGTAGGCCTCCCTATCACAGGTGGATGTGAGTCAGAGGGTCACGTTCCGTCATACAGAGCGGTGCCCAGTGTTTTCCCGTGACAGTGGCACTGTTCGTTCACCACAGTCACCCTGTAACCGGCAGCGGTGCTGTTGACTTCGTCATGCCAAGGGATATCCAGTTCCGAGCACCTTCTGTTGCGTGTCTAAGACACTGTGGGAGCCTTTGGGAGGCAGGATGGTTTAAAATGGGGCACAGTTCCATATCACTTAGACAGAAGGATCAGGGTGGATTGTGACCTCCCAGTGATTGTCAGCCCTTCTGTCCTCCTTTCAAAGCTTTCAGACTTGGGGATACAGTTTGGCTCTGTGTCCTCACCCAAATCTCACCTCAAATTATAATCCCCATAATCCTCAAGGGTCAAGGGCGGGGCCAGGTGGAGGTGATTGAATCATGGGGGCGGTTTCCCCCATGTTGTTCTCGTGATGGTGAGTGAGCTCTCACGAGATCTGACGGGCTCGGAAGCGTCTGGCCTTTCCCCGCTTGCACTCACTCTGTCCTGCCGCCCGGTGAAGAAGGTACGTGCTTCTCCTTTGCCTTCTGCCATGACTGTCGGTTTCCTGAGGTCTCTCCAGCAATGCAGAACTGTGAGTCAACTAAACCTCTTTTCTTTATAAATTATCTGGTCTCGGTATTTCGTCACGGCAGTGTGAGAATGGACTAATACACTTGGGTTACAATTTTGGCAGACAAAATTGTGTTTTCTGTGTTTAGAATTACCAAAAAAAAGTAGGGAGATGGGGATGGTTTACATATAATCTACTCCTCTTAAAAGTTATTGGAGTGCAGTGGTGCAACCTCGGCTCACTGCAACATTCGTCTCCTGGGTTCAAGCAATCCTCCTGCTTCAGCCTCCCAAGTTGCTGGGATTACAGGCGCTCGCCACCACGCCCTACTAATTTTTGCATTTTTAGTAGAGAGAGGGTTTCATCGTGTTGGCCAGACTGGTCTGGAACTCATGACCTCAGGTGATCCACCCGCCTCGGCCTCCCAAAGTGCTGAGATTACAGGCGTGAGCCACTGTGCCCGGCCCTGGCCGACTGTCTTAAATTGTGCAATCTAGTGTCCATAAAACTCTAATTATTTTGCTGTCATTTAAATTTTTTTACTATTTAAAAATTTCACGTGTAATTACAGATGGTACGTTTGTTGAGAAAACATATGTACCACAGTATTTGTAGTCAGAATTCAGAAATAAGCACTGTAATGTTTTAGTGTGTATCACATTTCACGTCATTTCTATGCAGAAATAGACCACATGCCACAGAGTGAACTTTGTCTCTAGCCTCAGCTTTCTCATCTCTAAAGTGGGGAGATCCTCTCCTGCTTCACGGAGTTGTTGTTAGGATGGAATGAGCTCGTATCAGTAAAGTGCTGACAGCACTGTATACTAAGTTTTGGAAATGGAATTTAACTGTTTTATAACCTGCTTACCAGGGTTTGGGGCCAGACATAAAATTCATGCACCCCACTTTTGTCACATTCCACTGGAGAGAGCTGAACCTCAAACTCACACCAGACTCCAAGAGACACAGAAAACATAGTGTCCTGAGCAGGCTGACCCAGCGTAAGGCCAGGACTGCAGAGAAAGGGAAGCAGGTTTTGGTGGAGAGCTGATCTCTGCCCCAGGGTATTTTACCATTTTTCTATGTAAGTGTTAATATTTTGCTTTTCGATATATGTGTGTTCTTTATAAATGAGGGACAGCAACCTTATGACTCATGTATATTGCAAAATTTTTCTTTGGTGTCACTTTTCACTTGCAAAAATTTTCTTTGGTGTCATTTTTCACTTTTAATTTTGTTCATGGAATTTCCTATTTTTATTTGTTGTTGTTGTTTTAGACAGAGTCTCTCTCTGTCACTCAGGCTGGAGTGCAGTGGTGTGATCTCGGCTCACTGCAACCTCGCCTCCCAGGTTCAAGTGATTCTCCTGCCTCAGCCTTCTCAGTAGTTGGGATGAGAGGCGTATGCCACCACACCCAGCTAATTTTTGTATTTTTAGTAGAGATGGGGTTTTACCATGTTGGCCAGGCTGGTCTTGAACTCCTGATCTCAAGTGATCCACCTGCCTTAGCCTCCCAAAGTGCTGAGATTACAGGCGTGAGCCACCGTACCCAACTGGAATTTCCTATTTTTTGAAAAAACTTTTTGTAATATATTCACACATGTGACAAAAATGCATTAGAAAATAAAATTGCTCAGAATTCCACAACTACAAATGGCAATTCTGTTGCCTTGACGTAGTTGTGTGTGTTCCTTACACACTTGGGTTTATACTGTATATTCTGTAGATAATTTTATATCCTGCTTTTTAATTTAATATTATATTGTGAGAATTTTCCCATGAAGCTGGAATTTATTTAAAAACATACTTTTATGACTGCTTGTCAAAGCAGATGTCGTCACTCCTGTCATCCTGGGCTTAAAGGTGGACTCTGCTTGGTTTCCTTAGGTTGAATTTCTAAAAGAGAAATTACTTGTATCAAGGACACACAGAGAATGAGAAACGTTTGAAGCGGTGGTTATCCTAAATACTCTAATTTGATTATTAAGCATCGTATGCACAAATCAAAATATCACATGTACCTCATCAATATGTACAACTATTATGTATCAGTTAAAAAATGAATACACCGAGTTCTACTCGTCATGGACATTCAGCAAGGTTAGTGAGTCAAGCCGTTGAGGAAGCCGCTTTAAGACTGTGTCTGTAGAGTAATGAGCCACCTTAAAAACCTGGTCAAGAAACCATGTACTTTGAAATCCATCAGTTTTAGAGTCAGAGATAAACCACTGTTTGAAATAAAGGGTTGTTTTCAAATGTATTATTTTTAGAAGAATTCAGAACATCTAAAACTATGTTAGAAACCAAACTTACTTCGTCCTGTCAGACACCTTGATGACCCAGTTAACAAATATTCCTAAGCTATGCTTATGTGTTCAGTTCTATGCCAGAAACAGAGATATTAGACATAGCCTCTACTCTCAAGGAACGCACACCTTAGCTGTTAAGCGGGGCAGAAAATAAGAAATACATGAGAAGCTAAATAAACACATGTGTTTGATAATAATCTAAAGAAAGGCACAGAAGCTGAGATGGAGGGAGCAGCTGAGGCTCATTAGTGGCTGAGCATTGGAACAGGGATCAACCAACTTCTGCTTCTGAGGGGCCAACGTGACCATTCCGAGGGCCGCACTGACTCTAAAACAAGCCTCTTCGCCCCGATGAACTACACTCTGATGTCCAGTGGCCCACAGGCTGTTGTTTCTTTACGTTTGTTTTGAACTTCCCTTAAAGAATAAATATAAGAAGCAGGGCCTGGTGCATACCTATCATCCAAGCTCTTCAGGAGGCTGAGGCAGGAGGATGGCTTGAACCCAGGAGTTCCAAGATGCACTGAGCTATGATTATAGCACTGCTCTCCAGCCTGGGTGACAGAGTAAGACCCTGTCTCTAAAAATGAAATTTTTAGAAGCCATAAAACTTTCTCATTCATTCCTCATAAAAATGAAGCCATGTAAATATGACTCTTGGGAAAGAGCAGATATTCAACGTGGTAGAATATGGGATCTTCCATAGAGTGGCTGATGCAATGAAAAACATATACAATTGTAGCAGTCAGTTGTGCCCCTAACATTTGCGGGGCCCCAGGCAAGAGCGCACATGGAGGCCCACGCACCATAGGTTTAAATATTTAAAAGTTGCTCACCAAACTGATAAATATGTCCATATCCTCCTGCCTTTGCAAATATACCTTCATCATGACCTGAAGACAAGGTTCAAATGTAAAATTTCTGGGCACCGTGAGGTTAACAGCACAGTATGTAGCAGTGCAGGACGCTCCTGGCCTCTGGCCTGCCCCCTCCTCTTCTCACCCCAGCTCCTGAGTGGGCTCTCATGCATAGGCTCGGCCTGCTTAGACCACATGCCCAAGCTCTGTGCGTGACTCACAACAGCTGCCTGTCTTCACCCCTCAGGCCCACGGGTGGTGTCACCTGCAGTGTGGTGCTCCCCAGGAAGACAGATCCTAAGGAATCCCTTCATGCAGGACCTGAAAGTGAGAACAGAGCAACTTGGGCAGGAAATTTGGGGTCCCAGTTACCTGGAATGTGGTCTACAGAAAGACACATGAGCTCCAGGTGACGTCCTCACCCCAGTGGGTAGGGGCTGGATTGGGGCCCTGTAAAGCCTGGGGCCAGGGCAGAGCTGCCTCTCACTGGGTCTGGGTCAGCCAAGAGCCACCATTTGTGGAATGCACTCTGTGCTGTTCTCTGTGCTCACGTGTTGTAATTTCCACGTCACAGAGTTTTCAGGGCGCTTGCTCAACTCACAGCTGATAGTGGCAGAGCCAGAATTCCATCACTGGACGGCCGTCTGACTCCAGAATCCGTGCTCTTCCTCACACTGGTTTACCATTTCTCATTAAAGGCTGGGAAGCACTGGATTGGATTATCTCACGAGCCCACTTCCTTCCCAGTGATACTCTTCAGCCGTGTGAGCAGGGCAGGCCCAGCATCGCCACCTCTGCGATGAGGAGGTGGTCCAGACAGTCTAAGGTTCAGACCTGCTGACTTACGTTACACACGCTCCAGGCTAAGTTCTGTTACTAAACACTCCGAATCTGGGTTTATTGACCATTTGTGAACACGGGTTATGGTGTCCTCATCTGAACTTTCTCCGGATGATCTCCCTGAGTCAGTAGGAATGTTGAAATGACTCCATCCAGGTGAACTTTCATCCTCATGGAAAATATGTGGTTCTCTCCTGCTGCTGGCAACTCACAGTGTGGAGTAAACACATTCCCTTGGAAATGCTTGTAATTCTAGGTTTTTCCAACATGAAAGTATTTTATCAAAATAATGCTTAGTCTAAGCAGTGTTTTTTTCTGAGTTTCGACATCTTAGCTCTATGGATCATATTTTGACTAGGGCTATGGCCCAGTGTTGATCCCATTCCTTCACTGCTGGGTCTAGGAGCAGTAACTGAATTACTAGAAAGCCTTTCACGCTTCCTCTATGCAGGCCAGCTTGGGAACTTTGATAAAGAACCTTGGGAAAAAGCAACCACTGTAGGGCTCACAGCCCCTCAGCAGTAAGGCCAATAGCCCCTGACTGTGCCTGCATGCCGCAAAGGCACATAGGATAACATTGAGCTAAATTAAATTTATAATGTATTTTCTATCCCCAATATTACTCCCCTAAGGTCTAGTTAACGGGCAAAGGACTGAGTACTGGATGGTAGGATTTGGGTCAGCTGGGTAACCACCTGGCACAGTTCTGAACAGTGTGGCCGCAGGGGCGAGTTTCATATGATGGTCCACAGAGGAGCGATTTCAGTCTGTATGTGTTTCCCTGGGCAGTGGCAGGATGGGTTCCTGTTTACTGTTCTCATTTGTCCGGTTGTGAAAGAGTTTGTTTCATTCTTTTTGTTTGTTAACATCTTCAGCCCTGCAGCAACTAACCTCCGGGCTCTTCAGATAGTCTTGTGAGGTGAGAGCGGCAAGAATCCAATGTGGTCATTTTTTAAATTTTAATCTCAATCTTTTTTCCTTTTAGAATACTATTCAGTAACAGTTTAGAGCCGTAGACCAGCATGCCTTTAGCAAAATGACCTCATGACTCGGCATCCCAAGTTGTGAGTTCTAGTCCTGGTTGTGCCACTTTCTAACTTTCACTTCGCGCCTCAGTTTTGTTAATGTCAATTGGAGATAGAAGTGTTTGCCTTGCATACCTGGAGAGATGGGCAGGCATCTAACTGAGGACCATTTCGACAGTCATGAGTGGGTTAACCAAGGTGACAGGAAGGTGAGCAAGACGTAGCTCCTGCTCTCAATGGAAAATCAACATGTCAATGGCTAATGATGGCCTGGTGTGTGGGTGAAAGAAATTGAGACTTTGAAGTACTTTCCATGAAAAATTATTATTAAGCATTAATAGAGTAGGTTGGAAGGTAAGATGAACCCAGCCAGTCTGGGACTCTCAGAAGCTGAATTGGCCCAAGTTAGTGCCAGGCACGAAGAACAGACTCACAGTTCATCTGATGGCAGCTTCTAGGGCTGAGCTTGCAAAACACAAATCTGTGTAGTCAAGGTTTTGCCTACTCTTTTTGGAGTTGTTCATAAGCATGGTACCAAAAAAAAAAAAAAGATTCTGAGCTCAAATAAGTTTGGGCAATGCTGTATACTGCATGCCCCTTGACAATTTCTTTCTTTTTTTTTTTTTTTTGAGATGGAGTTTCACTCTTGTTGCCCAGGCTGGAGTGCAATGACGTGATCTTGGCTCACTGCAACCTCCACCTCCCGGTTTCAAGCGATTCTCCTGCCTCAGTCTCCCGAGTAGCTGGGATTACAGGCGCCCACCACCACGCCCGGCTACTTTTTTGTATTTTTAGTAGAGACAGCATTTCACCATGTTGGCCAGGCTGGTCTCAAACTCCTGGCCTCAGGTAATCTGCCCGCCTCAGCCTCCCAAATTGCTAGGATTACAGGCGTGAGCCACCATGCCCAGTCGACAATTTCTTATACACGTTAACAGTTAAAGATTCTGGAAACGGGAAAGTTTGGCATTAAATAAATCTGTACTTTTGCTTACCTCTGTTTAATTTAAATTTGTGCATGCAAGACTTTTTCAATTCCCCTTTTATAATACCTCATTGAGAAGTGTTCCACAAGGCACCAGTTTGGGAAACACTGAATGGTAAATGTTATGGCAGACATCTGAAGTGATTATAAGAGAATCAGATAAGGTCGTAGATGTGTTGGCTCAAATCTATTTCTAGTAGTAAAAAAACAAAAACCTAAGGCACGTGATCTACAGACCGTGGGTCAGTAAATCAAAACAAAAACAGGTGATCATTGCATTATTATTTATGGTTTATGCAAGATGTAAATGTGCTAATCCATCCAGCACTCTATTTCAACTTTCTTGTTACCTCGCCTGGGTATTTCTTACTTAAACCTAATATTTTATTTTAGAGCTAGATTTGAATCTGTTACTTTTACAAATTTGGGTGGGTCATGTGACCCATTTTCTTCCATCATTTAACATGAATGAAAATACGGGACTGTTCTGAGGATAAGGGACATTACCTGTAAAACCAGCTCCCCCGTGCATGGCACACAGTAGGTCCTTTGTACGTCAGTGCTCTTTTTTGCCCTCCAAACTGTTACTAAAAACACTTGTGGTGGCTTTATGCAAAGTCGGTAGGATTTTCAAATGAAGCTGTTACTAACTCTCCAAGGCTGTTGTAAGATTTAGGGGGAATTTTTGTTTCATGCTTCTTCCATTTGTACAGGCAAAAAAGGAAAACATAAAATTGTTGACTTCTGGTGCCACTTCCTTCTTAACCCAGGAAAGGAGACCGTGGGTGTCAGTGTGAGCTCATCACTGAAAGCTGAAGTGGCATGGCTGCGATTGTGGCTGTGGCCCACTCTGGAGCCTGGGGAGAGTCTTCTGTCTGTGGTGGCCGGCTGTGGCCAGGACTAATGTCATCCAACAGGCTCACTTCCTTCATCCAGTTTTTCTTTTTACCTATGTGCTTATGTAACTTGAGGGGGAAAATTTTTGCCAAAAACCCAGAGGGAAGTGGCAATCTACTTTTGTTCTTATGGTGTCTTTGTTCTACAGAATCTCCTTTTTGAAAAAGTTGAGACCACCCATCCACGCATCCGTCCACCCACCCATTCATTCACCTGCCAGCAACATCCAACATCACCACTTACCAGCTCACCTACTGTGGACTAGGCTATAACGTTCCTACCCTCATGGAACTTATTGTCTAGAAGTGGTGACTTTAGCACTCAATGGAGGGCCCACACATTGCTATCTGTAGGCAACCATAAGGGACACTTTCCTAAGTGACCAGCAGTCTGGTATACAGCATGACTAAATTGTAGCTCTTGTCTGAAAATCTCAAAATGCACTTTCAAGAGAATAAATGAATAAAGATTGGCTACCTATTAACCATTGGTGGTCACTCAGACTTTTGATCTCCATCTTCCAAGCAAAGTCTTGGGTCCGAGATCCTCTGATATGAAAGATGCCATCTCTGCTTTCAAACAGGTGCAGTTGTTAGCTCACACTCACCATTCAAGACATGTGACTCTAATGCAATATGGTTTTGTTTTACAAGGCCTAAAGCCTTGAAAGATGCATTCACTGAAAAACAGTGAAAGTGTCCAGGCTTCTGGTCAATCCCTGTGGGAAAAGCCCACGACCAGGACTCACTGTCCTCCTGAAACATTTCCTGATTAGAGTGTGAGAAGTACAAACCTTCTGGATACAAGAGAAAAAAAGACCTGTGGAGAGGGCAAACGATGGTGGGTGCATTTAAGTGTCAGGCATGAAGTGCATAGTTCCTGCAGCTATCTCATTTAATTCTCCCAACGATTCTATAAAGTGGGTTGTATTTCCCGAATAGGAGACCGAGGCTCAGAGAGGTCAAGTAATTGACCAAGAAGCCAATCCGGGTATACCTGCCTTCTAGTGTATTGCCCTTTTCAGCTGTGCTACATGGCATTCTGTTTGGAAGCTTGAATACAGTAGCAAAGATGTCTGATGGATTAGGCAATTGAGCTATTGTGCCCCAATCTCCTAACTTCTCCACAGCTGCAGCCCTACTTTTTTGCAGCAACAATCATGTCTTCACCCCATGGGGTGGTGGAGTAAGGAGCCTGCGGAGGCTCCCAGGTGGCTCTGTCCTTTACCAGCTGGGTGGCCATCAAGGGACCACTCCCAATCGTTATACCTCAGTTTCCTCAGTTTACCAAAAAGGAAATAATAGTATGCTAAAATGAAAATAATAACAATAAAGAGCACTGGGATAGGAGGCGTAGAAGCTTAAACCTGGGAGTAAAGACAGACATGTATTTGAATCTACTGTCTGCCATTTACAAGTTATGTGACCTTGGGGAAGCTCCTTAAATTCTTTAGGCTTCAATGTCCTCATCTGGCAAATGGAAAACACAACACTACCTCCCTCGGGTTATTGTGGCAAGGATTGAATGAATGTATGTAAATACCTAGCGCAGTGACTGGAAGGCTGTAATCACTCAATAAAGTTAGCTACTGTTATTACCCACAGTTGACTAACTCAGAGGGCTGTTGTAAAGTTTACTCTATTGTGTTACTTATCATTAGTGGTGGCAGTGGTTGTGGTTGTAATGGGTGTTTACTAATAATATTTTTCTTTGTGGTTATGTGCTTGAAGAAGGGCCAAATGACAGAGTTACATCTTACCCTGAAATACGTAGATCTCAACCAAACATCCCTAGATCTCAGGAGCAAAAATTATGAGATAAGAGCAAGTTCACCAAGAGTGGCCGTTACAGGTGAAGTAAGCGTTTGCAGAAAATATTGAGCCTTCCCATAACACAGTTGATCCTCTCCCCCGGCCAGTGCTGGCACTCACCAGCATTTATTCACAGGCCAAGGATTTGTGCCAATCATTTTGGCTGGAAAAGTGTGCCAAAGAGACAACCTGGACATCAGGAAAAGAACAATGCAGGATGGTGGTGTTTGGGTAAGGCATCACAGAAGCTCCAGGCCCACAGCTGTCCCTGCTGGAACTCCCCTGGTGCACTCAGCCCTTCAAAAGCAGACAAAAATGCTCTGCAAGGAAATGAAGAAGTTCACAAAACAGACTGGTCTCTGTCCACAATGGGTATGCAAATTGTGGCCCATGTGGAGACACTTCCTTCTCCCATACCCATGGCAGTCATCACTAACCAATGATGTTACTCTTTCCTGCTGAGCCCAGGCAGAGCTTCAGAATCCTTCCCAGCAAAGCACACCTGGCATATGCTACTGAAAGATCAGCATTTTCATGTAGGCTGAAATCTAGTGGTAATCTCACTTCATAATACCAGCCTAGTAGTCTTCCAGCATTTCTAAAAATGGTGGCAACGGCAGACCCTACTGGTTTCCTATCTAACAGAGACTCACCTATTCTTGGTCTTTCTTGGCAGAGTCTACTTTGCACTATGGAGGCTGAAATGTCAGGTATTCCATTTCCCAGTCTCCTCTGCAATTAGGAAGGTTATATGGCCTATTCCTGGCCAGAGAGACAAAAGGGGACACTTTCTATATTGTATTTTCTCTGATAAAAAGAGATGTGCAAAGAGAAACACGACTCTTGGGACTTGCATATGTGAGGCTGTAATGTCTGGAGCTATGGCCATCATCTCCTAACCATAAGGACCTAAGCCTAAAGGCAAAAGTCTGTGCTCTATGGATGGTGGAGCAAGAAGATAGAAGGCATCTGGAAATTTTTCTTTTTTTTTTTTTTTTTTTTTTTTGAGATGGAGTCTCACTCTGTTGCCCAGGCTAGAGTGCAGTGGCACGATCTCGGCTCACTGCAACCTCCACCTCCCAGGTTCAAGTGATTCTCCTGCCCCAGCCTTCTGAGTAGCTGGGAGTATAGGCATGCACCATCATACCTGGCTAATTTTTGTATTTTTAGTAGAGATGGGGTTTCAGCATGTTTGTCAGGCCGGTCTCGAACTCCTGACCTTAGGTGATCCACCCATCTTGGCCTCCCAAAGTGCTGGGATTGCAGGCGTGAGCCACCATGCCCAGCTGGGATCTGGATCTTTAACATTCTTTGTCACTAAATTTACCAAATTTGGAGCCACCTACTCCTGGACTTCTCATTATATGAGAAAATACGCCATTCTTATTTAGGTCAATTTTAGTTGGATATTTATTTATTTATTTATTTATTTATTTAATTTATTTTTTGAGATGGAGTCTCACTTTGTTGCCCAGGCTGGCATGCAGTGGCACGACCTCGGCTCACTGCAACCTCCGCCTCCCAGGTTCAAGGGATTCTCCTGCCTCAGCCTCCCGAGTAGGTGGGATTACAGGCATGCACCAACACGCCTGACTAATTTTTGTATTTTAGTATAGACGGGGGTTTCACCATGTTGGCCAGGCTCATCTTGAACTCCTGACCTCAAGTGATGCACCTAGCTTGGCCTCCCAAGGTGCTGGGATTACAGGCATGAGCCACTGCGCCCAGCCTAGTTGGATATTTTATTACTTGCAACCAGAAGCATTCTTACTTGATTTGAATCCCTTTTCTTATGCTTATGGAATCCCCTACCTTAAATAGCAGAGAACACTCCTGGTAGCAAAGCTAATGATGCCAACTTCTCACTTTCTCAGCTTCCTATGCAATTCAGAATGGGCGTATTATGTAAGTTCCACCAATCATACGCACCCATGCCAAGCCTTGCTTAAGAAGCTCATAGTATATAGAAATAGAGGTGGTACACAATCCATGCTAGTGAAGAAGCCAGGAGCTATGTCCAGTTTCCGCAGGCAGTCTTGACAGCGGCTGTGGCTGCAGCCACAGCTGGAGTCTGGTGACGTCCAGTGTCAGGAGTGCCGCTAGTGTTGGCGATGCCCTGCAGTATCAGTGGTGGCATTATTTGGAGTGGGTAGGGGAGGGATTTCCTGGGGGCGTTACTTCCAAGCCTGGCTCTCCATCCTGCCAAGAGAATTTTTGAGCTTCTCAATGTCCTTTTAATCAATTCCCATCTTGCTTAAAATAGCAAAACTGGTTTCTGCTGCTACAACTAAGAATTTTAACTGGTAACTCATATCCAATGGCAACTATGGATGACACCATCTGAAAGGAGTCCTTTGTTAGCAAACTGCTCACTTGCCGTCTCATTTGAGTGCATAAACAGATACATCTCTAAGTCCTAGTGTGTAAAATTTGGAATATTTCTACTTTTATTAATTTGGATTTCCATGGTGAGGAAGGTATAAACTCAACAAAATTGTTAAAAGAATCCTCCAGAAACACACATGAGACAATATTTTCTACTTCCTGGAAGGAAACAGGAGCTTAGCCTGTGTCTTTTTTGCATTTGCTCAGAGTGTCCACATTGACACAGTTACCATGGTAAGAGCTTCCTTTTGAAAGCACAGTGGAATCAGCCCATTCAGAGCGTGTTGTAGCAGGCATGTGATTCTTTCCTGCTTCCATAGACACCAATTTCATTGTAGGCTCCATGTATTGTTGTCTTCTTCCTGAGACCTTGGGTTGGGGCCAGCTGAGCGGGTTTTGATAGCAGCTGTTTCTCTCCTGATTATTTTTTGATTTCTTTGATAGATGAGGCTGCGAGTGAACACTTACATCACGTGCAGAAGTGATATGAGAGCCAGGAGCAGAACCAAACCTCCTCCTGGAAGATTCTTATGCTATTTAGGCCTTCAGAGTAGACCAGATGGCTGACACTGACCCTTTAGCTATTCAGTAGTCTGTAGACTAAAACTCCTGCCATAGGCTCACTTGCCTCAGATCTTAATTTCCTGATACTCTTCTCATCCTTAAACCCTTTCTTCTTTAGTTAGTCAGTAATAACAATAGTCACCTTTAATAAGTACATACTATCAACCTTCCCACAAGCTATATGCTTTATATACATTATTTCATTTAATCCTTCTATCTCCTCTGCGAGGTATTATTACCCCCATTTTATCAATGAGAAAACTGAGATGCAGAGGGGTTAAGAAATTTACATAAGGTCCCTTTGAGAGGTTGACATTATTAGGATCTTCTCCTATGTCCATGCTTTATCTCCCAGACAGACTCTTTGAAAGCAGGAACCAAGTAACATTGATCAGTCTCACACCCACAGTGTTAGAATGCCCTGATTTGTATCATTGGCCTATTTCCATTGTGTAAATACTCCCATCATCACTCACTTCAGGCTACCAGTGTGAAGTCACTGGGAGCAGATGTGTACAATGGGCTCCCACAAGCCGGGGAAAGCCAGCTATGGCAGCTTGCTGGCCCCTGAGATATGCATAGTTACCTAAGGGGTCTAGCCCCAAACTCTGCTTGTCTGTTGGGGTGGGATTTGGCTCTGTCATTCTCTAACAGCTGTTAAAACATAGTACCTTGGAAGAATCTGCTAATGTGGGTGGCGGATACTTCACCCAAATCTTACTCTGTGCCCTCTCAGGGTAGGACACTCAAGCTTAGTCCCAAAGGGAACACACCCCTCCGCATGAGGTGATGTTTAGGCAGAGGGAAGCTGTGTGACCCATGGCGTCCCTTCTAAATGAAAGCAAAACAGCTAAAACAAAGCCTTTTTGCTGTGATTTGGAGTAATAAGGTGAGGAATCTCTTCTAAGAATGATTAACCATAAAGGCATGCAAAATATGTCTGACCGAACACAAAGTTTAATGATATCGTATTCTTCCTGCCAATGACAGACCTTTTCATCATTCTCTTATGTCTGAGATGCTCTTGTTTAAATGAAAACAAAATTCCTCTTGTTTAAGATCTGATCACACTTACCACGCTTACCTTCACTAACAGGAAGGTGTTTTAAAATGCTTACAGTAAGAGATGCTGGATTCTGTGTTTCTAAAACAAGTGTGCTTAGAACAGTAAGTAAATATGTACATTGTGTGGTTAGGAGAGAAATGGATTTCTAGTTCTTAGTAAATCTCCAAAGAGTTCCAAATCTCTTAAGTTAATGAAATTGGAAACAATATTTGGCAGCTCAGTAATAGAATGACCTCATAGGTATGCATGCTTAGATTAGGGAACTCATTCATTCTTTCAACAAAATTTTATTGAATATCTCTTAGGTGCAAGACACTCCGTAAGGGTCTGGGGATATAAAGAAGAGAAAAACCCAGGCCAATGACTGGAGATGAAGTGGCTAACGGATGCTTCCAGGGGTTGGCAAGCAACAACCTGAGGGTACAACCCAGCTGCAGCCTGGGGTTTACTGGAGCGTGGCCACACCCACCACTTATGCATCTGCTGTGGCCACTTCAACTCAGGCACCCAGTTGAGTAGCAGCTGGGACAGAGACCGCTTGTCCATGGAGCCTAAAACACTCACTGGCCCTTGAGAGAAAGAGTTTTCCAGCCTCTGGTCTTAGGAGAGAGAATGTAGGCCCAGACTATGGTGCTATGGGGAGCAAAGATGAGGAGACGGAGTGGGATGAACTTTAGAAGGTAGAATCTGTCGGGTGGGGAGCAGAGTGTAGGACCAAGGATAATACCCAAGTTGTCAATGGGGCCTGGAGGGAGAGCCCTCTGCTTCCAGGCCACTTCCTTCCCACCCCGTGAGCCCTGAGTACACAGCACGCCCAGCATTTCCTGCTGCCCAATAGAGCAAACTATTTATATGCTTCTCAAAAAATCCCTTTATTTAATGTGAACTTTTTTTCTAGAGGTCTTGGGACAGTAAGTCTAAAATGAACACCTCTCTTTTTAAAAGTAACAGTTGACTGGAATATTGTCAACTGCTTTATCTCATGCTGCCATAGCAGTAAAGGGGAGGCCAGCCACTTAGAGAAAATAAAGAAATGTTGGACTTGGTAAGTTAAAACCTGTAACGGTGTTTTTCATCATCATGATCATGACTGTACTAATCCAAAATAAGGCACTATCAGATAATTAATCTTTCACAGATAAAAATTTAACAAAGCAGTAGCTAGGTTACTTGACAGTAAATCTTTGCTTTATTTCTTTATCTTAATTAGAGAAATAACGATGGGTTAGGCTAAAGGCAGGTGAGTCAGTCTGCTAGGGGAAAGGTGACCTTGACGACTTGTTAACTGTTCATCTGCTCTTTAACCCACCCAGAGGTCCTAAATGTCACACGCTTCATGAATTACGCCACGTGAAGTTCATCAGTGCCAAACGACCTTATTAATGACTATTTGACCCAACAAACATGATTGAGGCCCTCTGGGTGTAGGCACTGCTGTGCCCATGCCCTGCCCTGGGGTGGCAGAAATACCAACAAGACCAGGCACTGCCCTTTAAGGAGCTCACAAACCAGCATGAGAGGACGGAGCTTCCACAGGTGTCCCAAGAAGTCAAATGTAATCCCTTTTTAGCAGAGGTGGAACCATCCTGACAGCTAGTGCTCTATCTTCCCATCACGTCTTCCCAATTCTCCTGCCAATAGCGCCAACAGCCTCCTCTGGCCTCCCTGGCCCTGCACCCACTAAATGATTTGAATGGAAGCTGCTGCTGAACACAGAACACTTCCCCGCCCTGGCCCAACTCTGACGCCTCCTTCCTGCCCCTGGGCTCCTTGGTGAATGAAGTTTGATCCCTGCCTCTTGGCATCACTGCCCTTCCTAGAGTTTGGTTTTGAGACCCATAAATTGCCCATATTTGCATAAATTAGTTTGAAGTTTCTGGCCCTTGCAGAAAAATCCTGATGAATAAGAATGTGGCCAAGAAAGCCCAGGAGAGGGAGTGGTTATTTCCAGCTGGGGGCACTGGAGAGGGTTTCTGCAGACAGAGGCGGGAAGGGCGCGCCCAGCAGCAGGTACTGTGCATGCAAAGGCCAGGCAGGGTATGGCGGATTCAGGGAAGAAGGCCATGGCTGATGCAATTGGATCTATTTGGGGGAGAGAAGAAGGCCACGGCTGGAGAGAAAGAGGAAAAAGAAACACAATTCAAAAGCCAGAATATCTGTGATGAACTTCGAATGCAGGTGAGGAGTTCCCCAAGTCAGGAGTCAGGAGTGCCATCATTTTAGCCTTCCTTGGGTACAAATTACACTTCGAGCAAGTGGCAATCTTAGGGCAGCATTAGAGAGCAGAATGCCATGTTCAGCTGGTTTTTCTCTCTCCTTTCTGACCTCTCACTTCTTGGTATCTCTGTAATTAGGGCTTGCTTACCTGTTTCTGATTGCCAGTGTCCATGACTAGATATCTGGGAGGAATAAGCTGCTTAACATGCACTCTACTCTGAAATACGGTCTTTTGGTTGGGCTTTAATTTGCCTGCGGCTGCTGCTAACAAGTTTTAAAATGTATATTCTGGGTCTGGCCCTTGGAATATAGAAGCTACACGTGAAAGCCGCATTGTGTGTGTGCTGCTCACAGATGAATGTACTCCATCCCTAAATGTGAAGACCTCTCAGATCTTTGGAAGGAATGGACTCTCTTTGTCTTTGTTAAAGCAGGAGATCTTAGTAAAAAGTATCGTGGCTCATGCCTGTAATCCCAGCACTTTGGGAGGCTGAGGTGGACAGATCACGAGGTCAGGAGATAGAGACCATCCTGGCTAACATGGCGAAACCCCGTCTCTACTAAAAATACAAAAAATTAGCCGGGTGTGGTGGGGCGTGCCTGTAGTCCCAGCTACTCGGGAGGCTGAGGTAGGAGAATCACTTGAACTTGGGAGGCAGAGGTTGCAGTGAGCTGAGATCACGCCCCTGCACTCCAGCCTGGGCGACAGAGTGAGACTCCGTCTCAAAACAAAAAGTAGTGCTTAAGTTTTGAAGGCAGCTTCTGAAAGTCTGAGCCTCCTACACGTGGCTAAGACAAAATACAGAAAGAAGCGGAGAGCACACCCAGGACTTCTCTGCGCTATTTTTGCATCTTCCCCTGAGTCTGTAATTACTTTCAAGATTTTTTTTTTAATGGGGCAGAGTCTGCGGTTAAATACATATGGGAACTGCTGGGCATTGTATCATCTGCTAGAGATCCACAAACCACATGACCATTCCAAAAGTTCTGAGAGGTCCTGCAGCAAAATAACAAGATTCGTTACTGGGAGTAACAACTTAGTACCCCCTTCTATATGCTTAGCTACACCCTGCAGAGTTGAATTGTTTGTTTTCTCAAAGAGGTCAGTTTTTGAGAGACCAGAAACAAAGCCTGGAGAGGCCACGGGTAGAGATTAGAATTCACGCAAGGGCTCTTGGCTGCCTCTCCTGAGAAGTATATTTGGAGCCTGCCAGCCCTGCAGTGTGCCGGGCAGGGAACCTCCACAGGCTCAGACACCTAGCATTCCTTCCCGTTATAAACAATGCTGTCTGTGAGGCCTGCAAACACTGGCCTGTAGTGTCCTGGAGGCCACAGGGGTGAGAGTGAGCCCAGCTCATGTGCAGGACAGTGAGGAGGACAGAATGACCAGGGCAGAGAGGGCAACACGCTGGGAAAGTGATGGAAATAGGAATCAGACCAGTGCTAATTGTGTGCTATGCAGTGAGGCGATTGCAAGAATACGATAGCTGTTGGCCTTAAGAAGCCTCATTGACATCTAATTGGTTGGAAATACTGGGACAGATTAAGCCAGGACACAATTAACTATATTACAAAGGAGAAGATGAATGTCCTAATATGCCACAAGGATTCAAAGAGAAGGAGTCATAACTGTTCTAAGAGACAGAACTATTCTGAGAGGCTCCTTGGAGGAAGTGGTGTTAAGGAGGGTCTTGAGGAATAAGTAGAATTTCAAAGGCAATCTCTATATTATATCAGCTCAGAATACTACCAACTGTAAGGAATGGAACCCCCAACTGACAGGGCTCACCCAATTAAGCATTAATGCTGTTTGACTGTGTCATAAGAAGTCTGGAAGTCAATGGACAGATCTTAAAAATAGGCTAAGAGATCAAAAGCCCACCCAAAAGACTATGTTCCATGCAACTCCATTTATATGGCGTTCTAGAAAAGGCAAAGCGATAGTAACAGAAAATACAGAGCAGTAGTTGCCAGGGCCTGGCAAGGCGTAGTAGTGGAATGACTACAAACGGGCACAGGGGACTTTTTGGGGTGATAGAAACTGAGAAAGAAAAAAAACCTTTTTCATCTGAGGAATGTGAGCCCCTTTAAATTGTCAGGTCCAGAAAGACATTGAAATGCCCCGTATGCTGGGCATGCCCTATAGTGCAACAGTGCATAGCCAATCACTAATCAATGTTATTCAATGTTATTTCTGTAAGCCAATGAGAATTCCTAAAAAACAACTTTGATAATTGGCCCCTCTCCTGATGATTCGTCCTTTTTTTTTTTTGAGACGGAGTCTGGCTCTGTTGCCCAGGCTGGAGTGCAGTGGTGCGATCTCGGCTCACTGTAAGCTCCACTTCCTGGGTTCACGCCATTCTCCTGCCTCAGCCTCCCGAGTAGCTGGGACTACAGGCACCTGCCACCACGACCAGCTAATTTTTTATATTTTTAGTAGAGACGGGGTTTCACCGTGTTAGCCAGGATGGTCTCCATCTCCTGGCCTCATGTGATCGGCCTGCCTTGGCCTCCCAAAGTGCTGGGATTACAGGCATGAGCCACCGCGCCCGGCCTGTCCTTTTTCAAAAAAACAAAAGCAATACAAAACTCAAGCCTCTCCTGTGTTCTCTGGAGCCCTTCTTAATGTGTCTTGGGCTGCAGTCCTAAACCTTGGCCCAGATAAATTCTGTATTAATTTTGCCTCAATTTCTTTCTTTAGGTCAACAGAACATTCTATATGTCGGTTGTGATGGTGGCGACATCACAATACATTTGCCAAATCTATAGAGCTGCACCTTTAAAATAGGGTAAATTTTTATATATCTCAATAAACCTTTTTTTTGTTGTTGTTACAAAAGAATATGTATCCACTGGAAAAAAGAAAGAAAAAAGAAAGAAAATGAAATAAAAATACAAAAAGCCCAAAAGAGGAACATTAGAATCCCCACCCCCACCCCGCCAATGTTGAGGTCTGTCCTTTCAGTATTTGCTACAATCTAATTGGGATTATGCTGTGCATGTTTGATAATCTTTTTTCTAAAACTGAAGTTTGAGTGTCTTAGGAGTATCCCATCATGTGAATGTACCAAAAGTTAATTAACCAGTTCCCCATTTTGAGGGAATTCATCATTTCCATTTTTTCCTGATACAAATAATCCTCTGCTGCATCAGTACCCATAAGATTAGGGTATCGTGCATAGACCCATAATGTTCCCTAGTTGGTGTATTTGGTGAAAAGGTGTGAACACTTTTAGGACTCTTTTTGTTTTTTTTTTTTTTTGAGACAGAGTCTTGCTGTGTCACCCAGGCTGGAGTGCGGTGATGCGATCTTGGCTCACTGCAACCTCTGCTTCCCGGGTTCAAGCGATTCTCATACCTCAGCCTCCCTTGTAGCTGGGATATCAGGTGTGCACCACTGTGCTTGGCTAATTTTTGTATTTTTAGTACTAACGGGAGTTTTGCCATGTTGCCCAGGCTGGTCTCGAACTCCTGGCCTCAAGTGATCTGCCCGCCTCGGCCTCCCAAAATGCTAGGATTAAAGGTGTGAGCCACTGTGCCTGGCACTTTTAGTGACTAAGATGCACACGTCTTGGCACACGTGAGTGTCATATTCATCCCTCTTGAGAGATTCTATTTTTAAGTCATTGCAACTCATGTGAAGTCGCGTCTCAGGAATGCAGGAGCTGGGCGAGCTGTGGAATGTTATGTGAGGAATATGTCCAAGTTTCTTGAAAGTTTCACAAACTGCTTCTAAAGGCAATTTCAGAAGGAGGGATCTTCAGGGTTGCTCTCAACAATCAACAAACTAGGTACACAGCCTCACAAGACGATGACCTCTTTGACAAACAGTTCTCATGTAGACAGAGAAATCCCACACATTTGCTCTGTAGGAGAGGAAAAAAATAATTTTCTCTCTGCCCTTCTGAGTCTCAGCTGGGAGGGACTCCTGTAACAAAAGACAGATTAACAAGAAAAAAACAAGCAGAAGCTTGCTAACATGTATGTCTCATACGCACAGGGAGACACCCAGAGACAAGAGTAACTCTCAAAGAGGTGGCTTAGAGTTCAGGCTGAAATACCATCTTCACCTGAAACAAAGAAGGAAGGGTATATGAGGAAGTTGTGAGGATGGACCAGGAAAAGCACAGGAAACAGGGTAAGGTTTGCCATACAAATTTAAACCCGTGCCTTCTCCATTGATGACAGTCTCTTGATAATTTACGGCCGTTTCTCCTCCTCCTACTGACAGGGGAACACCCTTACAAATAGGGATTTCCATTACAGGTATAAATTTCCCCTACAAAAGGGTAACTTCTCTGTTTTCAGAGCTTCTTCTGTGTCAGCAGTTTCTCAAAATAATTCTTTTTTTTTTTTTTTTGAGACGGAGTCTCACTCTGTCGCCCAGGCTGGAGTGCAGTGGCGCGATCTCAGCTCACTGCAAGCTCCGCCTCCCGGGTTCCCGCCATTCTCCTGCCTCAGCCTCCCGAGTAGCTGGGACTACAGGCGCCCGCCACCACGCCCGGCTAATTTTTTGTACTTTTAGTAGAGATGAGGTTTCACCGTGTTAGCCAGGATGGTCTCGATCTCCTGACCTCGTGATCCACCCGTCTTGGCCTCCCAAAGTGCTGGGATTACAGGCGTGAGCCACCGCGCCCAGCCAGCCTCTTGATGGATTGTAAAAATCATTCATTCTTAACTGGGGGAAATTTTCCCCTTGGGGGCATTTAGCAATATCTGAATACATTTTTAATTGCCATGATTGATTGGGGGTGGTCCTGGTGCTACTAGCTCTAGTGGGTAGAGGCCGAGGACACGCTCCCCATCCTGTTATGCCCAGGACAGCACCCACAACATGGAAGCATGTAGTCTAAAGTGTTGGTAGTACTGCGATTGAGAAACTGATGTAACTCAAACATCCCATATTGGTTAGCACTTCAACATATCTTGTAGGGGGATACAGTTCAATCTATAACAGATCTCCCATTTAATTTTATTCTGGCCTTACCCCAAGTTAGACATCTGAATCATTACAGTGATGATAAATGGTTGCTCAAATGCAAGGCAGTTTTACTTGGAGGCATGGATGAAAGCTAGATGTAACAGGAAATGAGAAGCCTCTATTTTAAATATTGAATCTGTTAAAATCTTTTTTTTGTTTTTTTGTTTTTTTTCTTTTGAGATGGAGTCTCACTCTGTTGACCAGGCTGGAGTGCAATGGCATGATCTCGGCTCACTGCAACCTCCGCCTCCCAGGTTCAAGTACTTCTCCTGCCTCAACCTCCCGAGTAGCTGAGATTACAGGAGCGTGCCACCATGCCCAACTAATTTTTTATATTTTTTGGTAGAGACAGGGTTTCACCATGTTGGCCATGCTGGTCTCGAACTCCTGACCTCAAGTGATCCACCTGCCTTGACCTCCCAAAGTACTGGGATTACAGGCCTGAGTCACCACACCTGGCCTAAATAATGAATCGTAGTCACTGATTTTTATGAACCACTACAGCAAACAAAAAAACTAACAGTGCTGGACGCAGATGTGTAGAAAAGGTCCAATATCATGTTGTATAATTAGGAAATGCCACTTTATTAGAAAAAATGCCATGTCCCATGAAATCGGGGACTGCATCTCTTTGTTCATGGCAGTATCACCAGCACTTAGAGTGGGGACTGGCACACAGTAAGTGCTCAATGAATACTTTTTGGGTGAATTAGAGTCTCAGGGAGGAATTTTGAGGAAAATCCTTACCTCAGAGGCCTCGCCCCCTACTACTCAAAACGGAAATGACTCCAACTCCCTTTCCGGGATGTCATGGAAGTTGTGTTTACGAGTATGAATTGCTACATGTGCAGATTACAGAGGAGAAGCTTGTGTGTGTGTGAAGAGTACAAAGTATTACTCAGATCACACATAAACATACACATAATTATACAGTGCTCACTTTTGTAAACCTCCTAAGATAATAGTGAAGAGGACACAGGCTAAAAATGGGAAGTCTAAACGGAAGGGCCAGACAAGTGCTCAAAGGAAAATGATCTGTAGAAGTAAGAAGGGCTGTTTGTGAAGCCAGGACCAGGGGTGCAGACAGGAGCCCAGGAGGCTCCACAGCCACCGCTGCAGCCGAGGTCGTCCTCCCGGCCATGCCCTCTGTCTTCCAACTCCAGCCTCGTCTGGAATCCCCCTCCTCTACACCACACTCCTCTGGGAGGTGGTCTCCTTTCTTCCTGCCCAGCACCTTTATGTTCTTTAACTCAAAAGGCAGTGGAAAGAGAAGACAAGGGCCCTAAGAGAGACCTGGGGAACTCGGAAGCCTTTGACTTTGTTCTCAGTAATTCTTAGTTGGCCTTGGGTTAATCTGTTGGCAACAAAGTCCAACGCAGCAGTGATAAAGAACTTTCCCACTGTGTCAAGCAAGGCCTTTGAAAAAGCAGGGCTGGGACAATCCCTGGGAAGGCACACAGGGGACAGCCCTGCGTCTCACAGCCTGTCCAGTGGCCCCCACTTGCTCACGATGGCCCGTGCCAGGTCTCAGGACACCCACCCCCTTCCATTCTGTCATGTCTAAAGTGTCTGACCCAAAGACTAACCTCCCCTGGAGTTCAGGAAGACTCCACTCTACAGACGCAGCTGACCAACGTTCCAGGCAGGAGCAGCCAGTTCAATCTCGTGTCCCCTGGGCTGCCGTCTCTGCCTCAGCGGCTACCTTGGAATCTCACCCTCCCAAGGGAGTCCCACCCCACTGGGGCTTCTGAGCCCCCCTTAGACTCAGCAGGGCTCTAAAAGCAGGGGTTGAAGCATATTAGAGTTTTGCGACAAGTAATAATAACAATAAATGTAAACCTAATTATGGGCCTACCACTGTTCTAAGAACTTTATACGTGGCCGGGTGCGGTAGCTCACGCCTGTAATCCCAGCACTTTGGGAGGCTGAGGTGGGCGGATCACCTGAGGTCAGGATTTTGAGACCAGTCTGGCTAACATGCTGAAACCCCATCTCCACTAAAAATGCAAAAATTAGCTGGGCATGGTGGCAGTTGCCTGTAATCCCAGCTATTCAGGAGGCTGAGGCAGGAGAATTGCTTGAACCCAGGAGACAGAAATTGCAGTGGGCTGACATCTCGCCACTGTACTCCAGCCTGGGTGACAGAGCGAGACTCCATTTCAAAAAAAGAAAAGAGAAGAACTTTACACACATAAATCCATGTCATCCTCCCAATAACCCTGAGACAGGCATCTATATCAGCGTCCCCACTTTTCAGATGAGGAAACTGAGGCAGATGTCAAAGCGCTACTTGACACAGCTAGCAATTAAATAGTAAAAAGATAGTAGTGAAAAGATAATTAGTAAAAAGATTAAATACATTTTTGTGGGTTTGTTTGAAAAGTTAATCTTCCATTTATGATACTGTTTCTACAGAAAATGCTTTTGAATTTCAAACAATTACTTCCTAAAAAACTTTGAACCAAAGTCAAGCCTAGGCCTTCATACCCATATTTTAATAGCGGTGTTTTGGGCTTCATAGTACCTTGGCAAGAAGAGCCTTCCTTCTGCCCCCCAACTCCTACCACACAGCCGCCACCTCCTCCCACACCTCCTCCCCTGTGTCTCCCCCACCCCACAGCCTGGACACACTTCCATTAGAAAGTACTTGAACTTTTTTTTTTTTTTAGACAGAGTCTTGCTTTGTCACCCAGGCTGGAGTGCAGCAGTGCAATCTCGGCTCACTGCAACCTCTGCCTCCTGGGTTCAACCAATTCTCCTGCCTCAGCCTCCTAAGTAGCTGGGACTACAGGCGCACACCACCACGACCAGCTAATTTTTGCATTTTTTAGTAGAGACGGTGTTTCACCATGTTGGCCAGGCTGGCCTCAAACTCCTGACCTCAGGTGATCCACCCACCTCGGCCTCCCAAAGTGCTGGGATTACAGGGGTGAGCCATCACTCATGCAGATACATCTTTGCAAGAACAGATCTTAATGGAAGAAATTACCATAAAATTATCCTAAAGTTTGCCAAAATGATGAAGTAAGAATTACTCAATTTTTTTACAATAATAAGAAAGTCTGGAAGCCGCAGCATCTCCTTAGGAGTTATAAGTAGAATAAATGAAAGCTTCAAGAGGGAAGCCAATGGCAGGATCCCAGGTGGGTGGGGAGGGGGAGGCGGATGAAAGCTGATTACAAACATGTCCAGTAGCAAGTGGGAGTGGGCAGCCTGAGCCAGGAATTCCCAAAAGGTTGAGGGAGTTGAACAGAAATGGGTGAAGGGTCAGAACCCAGTCGCTGGGTCAGATTATAGTAATGTCTTCCTGTGTTAGAAAGAGTGATTCATTATTTTCAAAGGAATGGATAGAAGAGGCCATCCTTCCACACATCTGGGACCCAGTCTTCTTTATGGTAAAGAAAGGTTGGACATCACTCTTTGAGCCCTTTCAGCTTAGAGTCTGTGAGTCGGAAGAGTTTGTCCATGAGCAGAGACACTAGAACCAAGCCACATACAAACACGTTTTCATAGTGTTTGGAGAATGTATTGCTTGCATATTATGGCTTCAAAGTCAAAATACAACTCCAGAGGACAAACAATTTAGTAGATTCATGAAAAAGCAAGTGAACCTGCTGTAGGATTGGCAATGCATTGAGGAGGCCAGCCTAGTGGGCTCTGGCAGGAGGAAGAGCTCAGCAGACAGGGCAGGGGGCAGTGTCTGTTCAGCATGATGCTATCTGGGGCTGACCAGAATGGCTTCATGAGTGTGTCTGGGTGTGCACATGTGTGTGTGAGTACGTGAGTGTGCGTGCACACGTGCTTGCTGCAGTTACTCACTACAGTGCTTGTTTTTGCCAAGTTCTCAGCTCCCGAGCTGGTGCCTGTGAAGCTGGTGCGGTCTGCAGATGAGTTTTCTGTTTGGGCTCCTGGAGGCTCCAGCTGTGCCAAGCTAGGGTATGGCCACTGGTGACTAAGCAGAGAAGCATGTGTCCAGCTGGGTGTGCCTCTCTGGACAGCTGCAGAGAGAAATAATAGGCTTCTTTGCCTGCAGGACAAGCCCCTTGTCAGTCTGCAAAGAAGTGGCTGGTTCCTCAGCCAGCCACAGGGAGACCCTGAGGTGTAGAGAAGAACCTCTCCAACCCTGGGGAGCTAAGGGAATGTTCTGTAGCGTCACAGGGGAGATTATTCAGGCTACCCAAGCTGTACAGCATGGCTGGAGGGAACATACAGACATCCCTCAGCATCCCAGGGGGATTGGTTCCAGGACTCCGTGCAGATACAAAACTATGGGTGTTCAAGATGCTTATGAAATCACAGAGTCTTTACATACATCCTATGCACATCCTCCTATATACTTTATTTATTTAATTAATTTATTTATGTATTATTTTTATTTTTTAGAGAAGGATTTCACTCTATCCCCTGGGCTGGAGTACAGTGGTGTGATCATAGCTCACAGTAGCCCCAATCTCCTGAGCTCAGGCAATCCTTCCCCCTCTGCCTTCTGAGTAGCTGTGACTACAGGCCCACAGCAACATGCTTGCCTAATTTGTGTACTTTTTGTGGAGATGGGATCTTGCTATGTTGCCCAGGCTGTTCTCGAACTCCTGGCCTCAAGTGATCCTCCTGCCTTGGCCTCCCACAGTGCTCTCCTGTATACTTTAAATCATCTCTACAGTACTTCTAATACTTAAGACAACACAAATGCTGTGTAAATAATTGTTATACTGTGTTTTTTTGTTTGTATTAATTTTATTGTATTGTTATTTTAATTTTTTTCCCAAATATTTTTTATGCGTGGTCAGTTAAATCTGAGGATGTGGAACCTGCAGATTTAGAGGATGGACTCGACCTGTGTGGTCATCACCTGGACTGTCCAGCCTGCTTCAGTGCATTGCTACATGCCCATTCCCAAAACTGATACTGGAGCACTCCACCAGGCCACCTAGTCAAGGTTACAGCTTGACTCCCTGTGGCCAGGAGTCCCCAACTACACATAGCCATGGGGCAGGGGAGAGAAAAGCAGGCCTTCTCGGCGACACTGCCCACCCACCATGTTCCTCGGCCCGCCGCAGCCGCAGCTATCCTTAACCCCTCCTTGCAAGCTCTGTGTTTATAGTCTTGATCTCAGCCTAGGGGACTTCATTCAAAGCCCAGGCCCTTGGGCACGGTGGCTCACGTCTGTAATCCCAGCACTTTGGGAGGCCAAGGCAGGCAGATTACCTGAGGTCAGGAGTTCAAGATGAGCCTGGCCAACATGGCAAAACCCCGTCTCTACTAAAATACAAAAAATAGCCAGGTGTGGTGGCACATGCCTGTAATCCCAGCTACCCGGGAGGCTGAGGCAGGAGAATTGCTTGAACCTGGGAGGCAGAGGCAGCAACGGGCTGAGATTGCGCTACTGCACTACAGCCTGGGAGACAGAGTGAGACTCCGTCTCAAACAAACAAACAACAACAACAACAAAAACAGGCCCTGAGTTTAGTAGCTGAATCTTGCCGTATTTCTTACACCTAAGTTCTCAGCCCTATTAACTGAGCTCCCAGGAAGTTTGCTCCCATCACGGTTCCCAGGATGGACACCTTGTTCCCCAATGGCTTGACCCATTCTCCCTCAGCCTTCCCGGGATCTGCGTGGGGTCTCCTTTGCCACTGCTGGGCTTTCCTGTGTCACTTGCTGCCCCTGGCGCCTCTGCCTCCATCCCAAGTCATAGCTTTCTCTGTGGCCTGCCCTCCATGGTGTGAACACTGCCCACTCACAGTCCCTGGGTGTTCTGCGTCCTGCTCCAGCTCAACTTTTCCGCTGCCCTCTTTTGCCATGCTCTGGGGCAACACCAGACTTGTCACCGGTTGCTATGGTCTGAACGTGTCCCTTTAAATTCCCGTGTTGGAAACTTAATCCCCAGTGCAGCAATGTGGGAAGCTACAGCCTTTTGGGAGGTGGTTGTGTCACAAGGGCTCCACACTCATGGATGGATTAATGTAGCTCTAAAAAGGGCTTGTGGGAGTGGGTTCACTCTCTCTTCCCCTTTCACCTTCTCCCATGTGAGGACACACAAGAAGGCTCTCACCAGATGTCACCGCCTTGATTTGGGACTTCCTAGCCTCCAGGAGAATGAAGAAGTAATGTTCTGTTTTTCATAAATTACCCAGTCTCAGGTATTCTGTTTTAGAGCACAAAACAGACACTGGCATTCTTCATGCTACCGTGCCCTCCATGTGGCTCCTAGCCAAGGCTGTCCACAATGCAGCCTTGTGATGCCTTGGGATGCAGGGTCACCCTGCCATCACTATGTGTGCCAGCCCTCCAGCTGGCTACTTTCTGGGTTCCTCCATGGGTCAGGCAGGAACTTCAGCACATCCTGCATATGATGCAGGAGCTGCAGGACGCTTGGTGGGGTGCTCCACTCTGGCCCTCCCTTCTACCCCACCATGCTGCCTCACCCTACTTACTGCAACTGTGGGCAGTCAGCCAGTGTTTTAGCGCATTGGGCTGCTATAACAAATTACCATGGACTGGGTGGCTTATAAACAACAAAAAGTGATTTCTCACTGTGCTGGAGGCTGGGAAGCCCAAGGTCAAGGTGCTAGCAGATTCTCAGGGTTCTGGTGGTCGGAAATCTGAGATCAGGGCTGCCAGCATTGGGTTCTGGCGAGGGCCCTCTCTGTGGCTTGTAAGTGGCCATATCCTTGCTGTGCCCCCACATATTGGCGGACTGGGAAGCAGGGAGAGAGCGAGCAAACTCTCCAGTATCCATTGTTATAAGAGCACTAAATCCCATCATGGGAACCCTGCCTGCATGCCTCATCTAAACCTGACTGTCTCTCAAAGGCCCCGTCTCCAAACACCATCGCACTGGGGGTTAGGGCTTCAATGTGTGAATTTTAGGGGGATACATGCAGTTCATAACGAACGTCTACCTTGCAGGGCTGTTGTGAGGATTAAAGAGATAGTGCCTTGGCCGGATGCAGTGGCTCACGCCTGTAATCCCAGCACTTCGGGAGGCTGCAGGCGGATCACTTGAGGTCAGGAGTTTGAGACAACCTGGCCAACATGGTGAAACCCTGTCTCTACCAAAAATATAAAAAAATTAGCCGAGTGTGGTGGTGCACGCCTATAATCCAAACTACTCGGGAGGCTGAGGCAGGAGAATCACTTGAACCTGGGAGGTGGAGGTTGCAGTGAGCTGAGATTGTGCCACTGCACTCCAGCCTGGTGATAGAGCGAGACCCTGTCTCCAAAAAAAAAAAAAAAGAGAGAGATAGTGCCTCTCCTATAGTGAGCATTGCCTTCCTCCAGCCATCAGTAAGTGAATAGAGCACATAGAATTTAGCTCCATTGGACTCAAGTAGCCATCAATAGGGGACTAGATAAACAAGCACGTTAAACTAGCTAAATAAGCTTAATGGACATCATATGACAGAAAAAGGAGTAAAGAATTCCAATGGTCCAATATGGAGCCATCTTCAATATACATCTGTAAGCTAGCAAGAAAACATACAGAATGCTGCACATAGTAAGCCACTTTTGTGTACAAAAGGGTGGGAAACAAGAACATGTGTTTGTATTTGCTTGTGCTTCAATAAAGGGAAATGTAAGAAACTCATAGAAGTCATTACCTGTAAGAGAACAGCAGTGAGGAAGAAACGGGTAAGAGCAATTCTCAAGTTACAGCTTTTAGAACATCTGGGTTTTTAATCACGTGATATATTTCTATATAAAACATTAAATTACAACAGATGAATAAGTAAAAGGTTTGCTGCATTCCAACATCCACTGTGTGTAGGGGCAGGGCCTAGAGATGGTTGAAGCATTTTACCAGTGTGGAATCTGAACCCAGAGAGTCCTAGGATTTACCTGAAATCACACCGTGGGTGGCAGGATGAGAATCCACATCTACTGACTCCTGCTGCAGGGGCCTCTCCCCATCTCTCCTTTCCATGGTTAAGGCTCTGTATTCACTCCAGGGCTTACTCAGATGGAGTGGAGAAAAGATAAATTAATCCCCTCTAATTTCTCACTATGGGGAAATTTCCAGAAACCAGGGATACAGGAATAGGAAAAATATAAGTTCCTTCCTGCCTAACAGATACAATCACAGGGTTTCATGAACGGCTCTCCACCTTTGCATGGAGTCACCGCCAAGGGAGAGGCCCCCCAGAGTCACCTGCCCTCGCTGGTCCAGCCGAGTGCACAGGATACGGCTGCTTCCTCCCCTGGCTGCTTTCCTCTGGTGACTCAGCAGGAGAGCTCCTGAAATAGCAGCCCTGGGGTGGAGGAGCTCGGGGAAGCCCTGGTCGTCTGGGGGAAGCACCCTTGTCACTGTCCCAGAGATAGCGCTCCCAAAATGTGTTTTCACCTTCTGGCCAGTGGGGCACGCCAACCCATGGGGTTTTAGAACGACAGGAAATTTGCACTGGAAAGTGCCTGAGAAATCTCTAGACCAGTGCTCGCTCCTCAAACCCAAAGTGCACAGAATGGCGTGGGGTCTTGTTACAATGCAGACTGAGTCAGTAGGTCCAGAGTGTGGCCTGAGATCCTGCATTTCTAACCCACTGCTAGGTGAGGCCCTCCTGCTGGTCTTTTACAATTTGTGGAAGAAGGAAAGGAAGTCCCAAGAGATACAGAGGCTCCACCAACGGCTTCATGTCCTATCTCCTACCTCTCTGTGGAGGGACACTTTTCCTGCTAAGTCACCATGCCTCGAACTTGGACCCTTCTTAAAGGAAAAACAAAAGCCATGGTCACTGGTCCCCAAGATTATGTCTTATTCTCAATCTTTATAGATTACGGACTTTTAGTCTATTCTAAAGTCTTTTTCTGTGCCCTTGGATGGGTGTTCGCGGGCTCCCAGGATGCAGCAGGGAGTGAGGTTGAGGCCATGCCAGAGGCTCCGGGCCTGGGAGTGGGTCCTGCCTGGCCATGCGAGGGTGGGAGTGGGGCAATCGGCTGCCTTGGGGATACAGGGCACCGGGGACATGGGGAACAGGGGTCCCACCAACACCACTGCTGCTCCCGCAGCCGCTTTTGCCGCCACGGTCCCTGCCCCCACTCCCGCTGCAGCCGTGACGGCAGCAGCAGCTCTAGACGGCCCACCCACCACTGCCATTACCAGCACCTTGGGAGGCCAAGGCAGGAGGATCACTTGCAGCTTGGAGTTCAAGACCCATCCGGGCAACATAGTGAGATTGTTGTCCCTACAAAAATAAAATTTTAAAAATTAGCCAGGCATAGTGGCACATGACTGTAGTCTCAGCTGCTAGGGAGGCTGAGGTGCAAAAATCACTTAAAGCCATGACTCTGAGGCCAAAGTGAGCTATGATTACGCCACTGCACTGCAACCTGGGTGACAGAGTGAGATCCTGTCTCAAAAAAAGAAAAAAAGAAAGAAATTGGTAGACAAATGGGTAGACAGATGATAGACGCAAGCTGCCATGCAGAGAAAAGGGTCTCTCCCGTGTTGGAGTTTAAATGGGAGAGCAAGCATGCGAATTAGCAGAATTGAAAACAACTGCACTCATGGAAGCAGAGAGTAGAATGGTGGCCACCATTCTACTGGGAGGCTGGGCTGGGAGAGTGGGGAGACAAGAATCAAAGGGTACACTGTCTCAAGTAGCTAGGAGGAATAAGTTCAATTTTTTTTTAGATTGATTGCACAATGTTGTGAATATACTTAATTGAGCACTGTACATTTCAGTATCACTAAGAGTAAATCTCAAATGTTCTCATCACAAAACATGTCAAATATTTGAGGTGATGGATGTTAATTAGCTAGATTTAATCATTTCACATTGTATTCAAAATCATAACATCACTTTGTGCCCCATAAATATATACAACTACAATTTGTCAATATATAAGTTTAAAATGTTTTAAAAGAAAAATAGGAGACTCAACACGGCAATTGTATGGCCTTGATTCACCCCAGATCTTCCCCTCCAGAAATCTCCATAGCACTCAGCTCCTGAAGGCAGCAGAAGCTGCCCACTGCTGTATGCCTCAGCTCAGCCCTGCCTTGCAGCCCAACTGTGCCAGCCACAAAAGCAAATGAGGACCCAACCAAGTGCTCACTGGGCCAGACAGTTCCTCTGGGAGTCCATCAGTGACTTCCAAATCCTGGCCTAGGGCATGCTCACAGCAGCCCCACAGGGGAAAATAGAAAAAAAATAGAAAATAGAAAACTGATAGATTCCTAAAGCTGGAAACCAGAAACTGAAGCCAACTCTCACAACTCATAGACTTTCAGAGCTGGAGGGAGGTGAGGCCAAGGGAGGTGGCATTATTTCTCCTAGGTCACAGAGTGCAGATCATCCTGCTGCTGCATATCTCACTGTGTCAGTCACACACCAATCCAGGTCGCTTCAGGATGAGGCCCTGAATTATCAAATATGTTGTAAGTGGATGAACCCTGGTTTTTAGTCTTGTACTAATTTTTGTTTGTTTGTTTGTTGTTTGTTTGTTTGTTTCTTGAGATGGAGTTTTGCTCTTTTTGCCCAGGCTGGACTGCAGTGGCATGATCTCGGCTGACTGCAACCTCTGCCTCCCGGGTTCAAGTGAATCTCCTGCCTCAGCCTCCAGAGTAGCTGGGATTACAGGCGCTCACCACCACGCCTGGTTAATTTTTGTATTTTTAGTAGTGACAGGGTTTCTCCATGTTGGCCAGGCTGGTCTCGAACTCCTGACCTCGTGATCCACCTGCCTCGGCCTCCCAAAGTGCTAGGATTACAGGTATGAGCCACCGTGCCCAGCCATGAACTAATGTTTTATTGTGTGCTTAATAAATACTTGTCAAGTGAATGAGTACTTGAATAAACCAATAACTCACACACCCCTGCATTCCAAAACTCTAAACAAATTAGATTTATGATTCTATAAGGTTCCAATAGATTTGGTTTTAATATATTAAAATCTATCAAGTTCTCCTGCCCTCAAGCTAAAGGAGTATAGAGAGATTGTCCTTAGATGCCAATAGGCATTAGGGATGCCAGCCTCCACTTTCTGCCCATGGGGCCATGTGCGGGATGGAGAGGGTGCAGGTGGACAGGAAGCAGCTGGAGAACCATTGGGCTTAGGCCTTACCTGACATCGGACTTAAAACTAAATGACATAAATGAAACTTCATGGTGTGAGTGTATTCATTTGTTGAATGTCAAATGCAAACATTTATAATATGTCACAGTTTTGATAACATTGTTTTGGCATATCTTCTAGTCTTAAATATATCAGGGCAATACATTCATCGCACCTGTGCCTGCACTTACACACATGCACACATGAGATCCAACCCTAACACTTCTGGCCTTGCTCTGAAATGCCCAAGGGCGTCCTCCTTTCTGGGTCTTGACAGTCTTGTTTATCAGGATCCTGCAAGGAAGCAACTGCTGCTGGCCACAATGTCTATAATCAAAGCTAAGTCAGGATTTACTGGCTTGAAACACAGAAGCAGTCATTTGAATGCTAAAAAACATATCACAGGGCAGGGTGTGGCCCATGGCTGTAATCCCAGCATTTTGGGAGGTCAAAGCAGGAGGATAGCTTGAGTCCAGGAGTTTGAGACCAGTCCAGGCAACATAGTGAGACCCCATCTCTACAAAAAAGAAAAAAAGTATAGTCAGGTGTGGTGACATGTACCTGTGGTCCCAGCTACTAGGGGGGCTGAGGAAGGATTGCTTGAGCCAGAATTTCAATGCTGCAGTGAGCTTAGATCTTGTCACAGGGCTCTAGCCTGGGTGACAGCAAGACCTCATCTGAAAAAAAAGTCTTGATATGCTGTGATACACACACACACGTGTAATATGCTGTGATATATACATACACACATATGTGTGTATATCATATGTATATTACACAAATATATGTGTGTGTATATCACAGCACATCAGGACTTGGATAGGTCTTAGACGTCTCCTAATCATGGCCCTTTCATTTTACAGGAAAGATCCAAAGAGAGTGCATAACCTTCCCAGGTCTGATTGCTGGCTTGTGGTAAGACCTGGTCTCCAGAGGGATTTTTTAATCATAATTTGGTGTCTTCAATTGTTAGGAAGACAGAATTAGAACCAGTGAAAAACACATCACATTCCCAGGAAGATTGTACTTCTCTTTCATTTGTATCAAATATCAGATCATTCAGAGTAATCTTTGCTAAGATAACAATCCTTGCGGAATTGCCCAAATATATGATAAACCAACCATCAGAAGCTTTTGCCACAGTACGCATGGGGAAGCACACATCAGATTCGCTTACTGGCTCTGGAGGCTTCATGGGTATACCTCTCACCTTTTAAGCTTCATTTTTCTCATCCGTAAAGTGGGGCTGACAAAAGTACTTAAGGTTTGGGCCGGGCGTGTTGGCTCACGCCTGTAATCCCAGCATTCAGGAGGCCAAAGTGGGTGGATCACCTGAGGTTAGGAGTTCAAGACCAGCCTGGCCAACATGGTGAAACCCCGTCTCTACTGAAAATAGAAAAATTTGCCAGGTGTGATGGTGGGCGCCGTAATCCCAGCTACTTGGACTGAAGCAGGAGAATCGCTTGAACCTGGAAGGTGGAGGTTGTAGTGAGCACGACTGCACTAAGATTGCACCACTGCACTCCAGCCTGGGTGACAGAGCGATACTCGGTGTCAAAAAAAAAAAAAAGGTGCTTAAGGTTTGTTATGAGAATTAAGTGAAACTACGCATATGAAGGCACTTAGCATAGTTCCTGACACATCTTCAGTGTTAAGTAAATATTAGCAGAGGTTATTATTATTGCATTGTTGCTGCTGCTTTTGTTATTATGCAGATGAATCCACTTCTCATGCAGGTGTCTTGCCCTCTCTCCCACCTGACCCTTCCCTCTTAGGAGGGCTCTCATGTCCCCACTCCCTGAGTCTCTGTGGCTCTCAACATTTATTACCAAGCACCTGCTTACAATTACTGACTCTTGAACCCCGTGATTTGAGGTTTTGTCTGCCAAATTATATTTATTAAGAAATAATTCCTTTTCCAAGGTCTAGTAGGATAAAAATGGTCACAAATTCTTTCTCCATTCTCTGAATCCATGACTTGATTTGATAGTAGAATATGGTGGAGGTGATGCTGTGCAGCTTCCAGACAGGACCCAAAAGGCCTTGCAGCTTCCACTGGTGCTCTCTTGGAATGTTGCTGTTGCACATAAGAAGCCTGGACTAGCCTGCTGGATAAACCAATTAACAGCCCCAGCTGACTATCGACCATGCGAGTGAAGGTGTCTTAGACCAGGCCTGGTTGGCCCTCCAGAAGACTGTGGCCACATGAGTGACCCCAGACAAGACTAGTAGAACCACCACCCAGTTGAGCCCAGATCAGAGAGCAGAATCTTTAGCAAGTAAATAACAATTGCTTTATGTGACTAAATGTTGGTATGGTATGGCCTACCAGGCAGCGATGATACATCACAGAAATTGTTTCTGGAATTGAGATGCTGGCATAAAAAAGAAGAAAAAAATGCATGTACATGACATCTTTGGGACTAGTTAGCCTGAGTCTGGAAAAGTGAGGAGGCTGTGAGGAGCAATGACAGACAGACTATTCATGGAGGGTGAAAAACCAGTGAGGAGATTCTTATTTCAGGTTGGAAAAAAAGGCAACACATGTTATATCGTGGCAGAACAACTGGGAAAATGTCACCTGTGGTAACTTAGAAAACAAAAACCGTATTTATTAAATTTGTAGCTCTGGTTAAGAACATCTCTAACACAGAATGTTGAGAGTCACGTGAATGTTTTTAGCAGAATATAAGACACTGCAAAAGAGAAATGAGCTAAGAAGAAACTGTTGAGTTTGCAAACAGAATTTAGAACCGTAGAGGGCTCGGGACTTAGTGGGTTAGAAAGTAGAATTCAGCTAAGCTTTAAGGCATTGTCTCAGAGTGGCCTGACATGGACGAACAGAAAGAGATCTGTCTCAAAACAAATGGATAGTGTGGCTTTTGGGGCATGGAATGTACCCTATGTGATTCATGGGAATCCTACACAGTCTTAAAAGAGTTGTCCTGATGAAGGCACCACCAGCCCAGACTAAAAGAAAACAAGAGAGATCACATTAAAAAGAGAACTCCAGACTCCCAAATTTCTTTCTTTTTTTTTTTTTTTTTTTTCAAGAAAGGGTCTTGTTCCGTCATCTAAGCTGGAGTGCAGTGGTTCAGTCACAGCACTGTCAGTCTTAAGGTCTCTGTGTTAGTGTTTGTGAACCATGTCTGACCCTTACTTTCCATCATGGCCTGAACTAGTTTTTCAGGTTAACTTTGGAATGCCCTTGGTTGACAGGAGTGTCTGTCAGTCAGTTGAGGGGGTTAAGATTTTATTTTTGGATTACAAGATGAAGAGAAACTGCACCCTTCCAGGAGACTCTCCTATATCTGCACCTGCTCCAGGGCATGAGATGACAGGTTCTGAGCCTAGTTCTGTGATGGGATGACCACGCCCTAGTGCGTGGTCTTGGGATGGGGGAGTGCATTTTGCTGGGGCAAATGACGTACATAATGATGGCCAAAGGGTGAAATGGGACAGGTTAAAAATAGCCACAAATTCTTAGCAGCTCCTCCCATCAAGAGAGAAAGTTTATTTCTCCACCCCCTGAATCTGGCCTGGGCTTTTGACTTTCTTTAATGAATACAATGTGCTGGAAGTGACATTGTGCAGCTTTTGAGCAAAGCTGTAAGAGAGCTGCAGCTTCCACTCCTGCTCTCGTAGAATGCAGATGCTGCTGCTGCTGCCACTGTTTATGAAGCCCAGGCTCACCTGGCCACGCGGAGGAGAGCCAAGGCTCCCTCGAGGACCCCCCAGCTGACCATCACCACGGCTGACCCCCAGACACGTGAATGAGGCCACTGCAGACCATCCAGGCCTAGCTGACCTACCAGGTGGCTGCAGCCACGAGAGTGACCCCAGCCCAATTAATTTCAGCCCAAATTGCTGAATCACAAGATTGTGAGAAAATACACGGTTATTTTAAGCTACTAAGTTACAGATTGCTTTGTTACATGGAAATAGATCAATAAGATGTAGGAAAATAACCAGTTATCACAGGTAATCTATTTTTTAATGCAAAAAATACAGGATATTGCTGCTAGCCTGTGAATAATTTCACTTCGCTTACCCCTGCTTTTCTTCCTATATGTGGATGCTACAGACTCAGACTCAGGAGAGCATGGGAGGGAATCATTGTCTTCATTCCGCTACTTCAGTTTCCCAAGGTATTTTTGATGTGGGCTTAAGACACCACCTTTCCCTTCACCCCCATACAGATCTGGAAGCTTAAGGATCTACCCTGATTCTCAAACTGCAGCATATTAGAAGCAGCCCTCTATAGCTATGCTTCTGAAATCTTACTGTTCAAGTGAATCACCCAGGGGCCTTGTTGGTGTGGATTCTGACTGCACATAGTGGGCTGGCCTGAGAGTCTGCCTTTCTCACAGGTGCCCAGGTGATGCCCTTCTGAGGTCCATGAACAACACTGGGAGTAGCAAGGGTGGAGGGGGGCTGACTGAAGCACGGAACAGCGGGGCTCAGCCTTGGTTGTGTTGAAACGGCCTCTGGAGTGTCATAAGATGCTGATGTCTTGCCCCCATTCCCAGGAATTCTGACTTAATTGGTCTGGGTGTGACCAGGGGTGGGATTTCTAAATGTTCCCTTGCTGATTCCCACGTGCAGCCGGGGCTGAGGGCCCCTGCTGTGAACGATGAGTCCTGGCTCTTTGGAAAGGACCCCAGCCATGCAGCCAGCTCTCACCACATCTGCAAAGACTGTGCCAGACCCCTAGTAAGTGAGCTGTGTTAACCCCTTCAGTGCACGTGGAGCCAGCCAGAAGACTGCCGGAGAGCAGTGACTGGTAACGGCCAACGCCTGTGCTCCCAGCAAAGCAGGGCACAGGGAGGAGGCACGAAGGGCTGATCACAGCTATGTGGTCGGTCACAGGGCTGAGCCTCCCTCAGCCTCGACTTCCTCACCTGTGAATAGAGTCTTCAGGCTACCTTTGTGGGGTTGTCCGCCAAGTACCTGGCTCAGGTTAGAGACCCCATAAATGGGAGCTATTATCCATAAATAGGGCATCCGTAGACCTGAGCAGCCAGTTGCGGAGAAGTTGAGAGCAGCTGATGTCTGGGATTCACGGTCGCCAGTGTGAAAACCCTGCATGGGAAGCGATCCCTTCTGGTAAATGCGAGACCCTGCCGTTTTCCATGAGGGTTTAGAGGGTTTAGTGTTATTATTACCTACCGCTGCCCTGCCGTGAAGCCGGGGCCAGAATGGCTTCGTTTTAAAGACTCAAACGGTGAAAACCTAAGTATTTTAGAATTTAATGTCTTCTTCAGAAGGTACTCTTTCTGTGTTTTGAGGTGAGAGAATGTCATTTAAAAAAAAATAAAAGCAGGCTGGGCACGGTGGCTCACACCTGTAATCCCAGCACTTTGGGAGGCCAAGGCAGGTGGATCATGAGGTCGGGAGTTCGAGACCAGGCTGGCCAATATGGTGAAACCCCATCTCTACTAAAATACAAAATTTAGTTGGGCCTGGTGGTGCATGCCTGTAATCCCAGCTACTGGAGAGTCTGAGACAGGGGAATCACTTGAACCTGGGAGGTAGAGGTTGCAGTGAGCCGAGATCGCGCCACTGCACTCCAGCCTGGGGGGCAGCAAGACTCCGTCTCGGAAAATGAATAAATAAATAAATAAGCAAACAAAAAAATGGAGTGTGCTTTATTATATAATGGAGTATACTGAATAAACTCCATGCCACATCAACCAGAGACTAGTAAGACTGGGGATTTATTTGTTCATATTAAAAAGGCAACTTTGTATGCAATTCTCGGGAGGTTTGACTGCTCTGCTGCTCATGAAATGTGGATTGTCTGTCTCTTGGGAAAGACAATTCCAGCATCCAGGAGGATGGGGAGGGCAGAGGAGGGTGTTGTGGTGTTTGCTGGGTGGTGTGGCCCTATGAGAGTGGCACAGAGAGTGTGGCAGGAAAACAGGTGAAGGTGGACAAAGAGACAGACAATTCCAACGGGACCATCCAGAGTCCAGGGGATGTGGCTTCTGTACCCCAGCACCCCACACAGAGTCTTCTCACAATACCGTCTCTTTCTTTTCTGCTCTCTTCCTTCCTTTCTTCCCCCAGACCTATACTCTTTAAATTACAAAGCACCAAATATTGCATACATCTAAAAGTGAAAAATGAACCTCCTCTTTCTACCCAAGTCCATGAACAGTGGTTCTTATGGTTTAGTATGCAGAAGAACCACCTGGGGAGCTTGTAAATAAGACAGGATTCCTGCCACCCATCCCCAGAGGGTCTGGATTAGGGTCTTCATTGTTAATAGCCCTTAGCCCCCAGCAGTGATTCTGATGTTAGTGACCTTTGAATTCTGCTTTAAGGTATGTTGCCCGGAGCTGGCTGGTGCTGGCTGCTAGGGGTAGGGTGTGTGTCTTGTCTTGTCTTGTCTTGTCTTTTTTTTTTTTTGAGATGGAATTTTGCTCTTGTTGCCCAGGCTAGAGTGCAATGGCGTGATCTCAGCTCACCGCAACCTCTGCCGCCCAGGTTCAAGCGATTCTCCTGCCTCAGCCTCCCAAGTAGCTGGGATTAGAGGCACCCGCTATCACGCCTGGCTAATTTTTGTATTTTTAGTAGAGAAGGGGTTTCAGCATGTTGGCCAGGCTGGTCTCGAACTCCCGACCTCAGGTGATCCTCCCGCCTCGGCCTCCCACAGTGCTGGGATTACAGGCATGGGAGCCACCGCGCCGAGCTGGGTGTGTGTCCTTTCATATTTAGCCATGCTGACCTGAAGCACATGTGACCTGGTGCTATGTGACCTGGAGCGCTCACACACGGGACTACATTACATGTGATACATAGTTCTCCCTGTCTGGCCATGGACCGTAAGCCAGAGCCCATCTGTTATAAAACCTGCATTTGACTAGACAAATTAAGAGTAGGATTACAGAATCCTTATACACTGCTTTCTGCAATACCAGCCCGGGTGCTCTTGCTATCCGACAAAACCTGCCCACACAGAGTCAAACAAAGCCACTCCTCATTGCCAGTGATATGCTAGAGTTCTGGCTGGTCTTTATCTGCAGCTGGCAATAGATTAGGCTTCCTGCTACCCTACAAATAGCCTTTAACCTATTCCCCTGTGGTAATTAATATTTTGTGGTGAGCCAGTAACTGCACAGGCATGTTCCATGCCTGACCGGTCTGAATACCAGGATTCATTCCCTAATAGAGCCAACTGCATGGCCCCAGGGACTGAGTTGCATTGTGGAAAGAGTAAAGGTTGTGACGCCAAGTAGGCCTGAGTCCAACTGGGTGCCCCTTACACCAGCTGAATGTATGTGGTCAAGTCAATTAACTGCACACAGAGCCTCAATTTTTCACCTGTTAAATGGATACAGCAATGCTTTGCTCACAGTAATGGTCACGAGGGTTAAATGAAATGACACAGAAAGAACTTTACCCACAGTAAGCTTTCAGCAAATTCATTCATTTGGCAAGTATTTATTGAGTGCCTGTCTATTGCAACCTGATGGTTTGCTAGCCAGACTCTACTTCCCTTGGCCGTAGCAGTGCTGGACTGGGCCCTGGAGTGTGGTGTTAGCAGTGAGCAAACAAAAGAGACAGATATCCCTATTGATGGAGCTCACGGTCTGATGGGAGCCATCATTACTATCATTATTGTTCTGTGGTGATCTGTTGCTCTAAGATTGTAAATTGACTCAATCTTTGTGAAGGAAGGAAGTGAGGCAGCTAAGCGGGATTAGGAGGCGGGACACTCAGGAGACTTGTCTTGCACCAGGAATATGGATGTGCTCGAACCTTACTGGAATCCATCACAACCGGGATGTTGATGAATTCAGGTTTCCACATACAACTCATTAGATAAATGGCTAAATATAAGCCTGTCCTATACCAACCATAGTAGTCAAGCCTTGAAGAGGAAGCAAGACAGATCCCCTTGCCTGTGCTCACCTTTCTTAGTTGGGGAAATATTGAAGGGGGCGGCCCCTGGGTTCCCGACACCAAACTTGAAACCAGCCTGCTGAAGCTGACCCCATGGTCAACGAGATTCCGAAACCAAGTAATGCGCTGTAGAGGGATGTTTCCTGGGACTGCGCGGTTTTGTTTTATTGCATAAATTTCAAAGTATTTAACATGTAACCAAGAAATTGTTGTGTTCAGAAAATTGCAAAAGAAAACTCAAGAGAATAAGGCCTCCAGAAAAAAACAACAACAACAGCAACATGTTTTTAGGGTAATGAAGGCCAGGAAGAACAATTAATAATTATTAAATCAATGTTGAATTAGATTGTTATTTCAATTCTTGGTGTGAATGACTGAATCATAATCTAGTCACAAGTGATAGAAAAACTGTGAACTGAAAGCCAATTCCAAACTCAGCACGTTGAGATGTTCTGTTGTATTCAACGTGCTGATAAAGCCCTTGATGGAAAGGAAGATATATGGTATCTTGGTATGATATATGGTAAAAGATATATCTTTTACCAAGTTTTACTAAAAGAAAATTTATTTCTTCCCACTAAATAATGTGGACTAATGTAAAAATACGTATATTGGCTTGAAGAGGGGCTACCTTTGTAGCTGCCCTGCAACCCTCATATCTGGGTCGAACCCTGCTGGGTTGAGGTTCTGGACAGTCTGCGTGGGATAAGGTCTCAACAGATGGGGTTGAGACTCCCACTCACTTGGTAATTCTGAAAATGTAATCTAGTGTGTGTGCACTTGTTTATTATTTAAAATCACATTTAATGGCCAGGCACAGTGGCTCAGCCTGTAATCCTAGCACTTTAGGAGGCTGAGGCGGGTGGATCACCTGAGGTTAGGAGTTTGAGGCCAGCCTGGCCAACATGGTAAAACCCCATCTCTACTAAAAATACAAAAATTAGCCAGGCATGGTAGTGCATGCCTGTAATCCTGTCTACTTGGGAGGCAGAGGCAGGAGAATCGCTTGAACCTGGGAGGTGGAGGTTTCAGTGAGTCCAGATGGTGCCACTTCACTCCAGCCTGGGCAACAAGAGCGAAACTCTGTCTCAAAAAAAAAAAAAACATTTATTCAGCACCGATTCTATGGTACAAATTAGATGCAAAAATGAGCTGGCCTTGCCCTGCACTCACAGGGCCTACAGACAAGGAGACAGGGAACTAGAAGTCAGTGTGGTTCTGCAGGACCCTCTGAAATCTAACCTAGCTGCATGACCCAGCAAAGTCTGCAGGAAAACTAAGAACAGAGGCAGCCCTGCTGATGCATTATTTAGCCAGATTGCCCTCCCCACAGCCGCCAGCCAAGCATGTGTTCTGCCAAGGAGAGACAATTAGGTGGCCGCACTGTGGTAGGGCAGAGAGCTCTTGCAGCTCTGCATGAAATGGGCACTGAGGTGAGTGAGTACTTCCCTCTCCTGTTTTAGACCAAGGATCAGTCAACTTTTTCTGTAAAGGATCAGACAGTAACTATTTTGATGTATGTGTGCTGTGAGGTGAGTGCTGCAACGCCCCCCACCGCTCTGTCGTGGTAGTATGAGAGCAGCCGCAGGCACAGGTCACGGAGGGGCGCGGCTGTGTTCAGTAGGGCAGCATTCATAGAAAGAAGCCAGCAGCGACCGACGGGCCCTCGGGCTGCAGGTTGCGGACCCCTACTTGAGAGCCAGGCCAGTCCAAATTCCCAGTTGCCCTTTATTCACGGGGAACTATGTAAACATCAAGAGACTATTTTCCAAAACTCGTTTTTAAAAAATCTCAAGCACATAAAAACACATTGTGCTTCTCGGTGTTTGTTTTTCAGAAGTGTTTTTCCACTGGCATTTTAACTGAAGGGATTTGTTTCTTCTTTCATTTCTCCTGTGCTTCTTGGCGACAGAGTCTACATACCGACATTTCACCCTTTCCTCACCCTCGAGAGTAAGACTTCCAAGATTAAGTTTATTGTACTCGGGAGTTGGCCAAGCAACCACATAACTCCTGTCTGCTCCGAATCCTCAAGGCAGTGCCAGCTGCATTTTTCCAGGCCCGGACAGCATGCCAGAGGGGCAACGTCACAGCCCAGGCAGCCAGGCCTCCGTTTCCTGTCTCTTTCCTCCTGAAAGACACATGAATCATATCAGCTTTATCATTTGACTCGGAGCTCATTTCCCTGTTCCACAAACGCCTGGAGTTAGAGGCAGTGAGAGCCAAGTACAATGAAAACATGAAGTCCTGAGTTGCTTTCTCCCCTTAAGAATGGAACACATGTTCTCCCATCTCAAAAGAAAGCACCTCAGCTGGCTTAATTTGGAGTCTTTTGGCCTGAGCACTTGGCTCCTGGGTCAGACACTGGTGATCTCATCTGAAAAGCTGGGCCCTGCCTGTGCCCAAGGCGGGCAAGGTCCCAGCCATGGTGGCAGCAGGGCCCTTGTGTGCGTCCACCCCTGGCACACGTGGACTGTGTGCTTAGGGGCAGGTTTCTCCTGCAAGTAACCCTAGCTGAGTGTGAATGTAGACAGCAATCTGTGATCACATCACAACCTTTCCCTGAGCGTCTTACCATCCTTGCTCTGGAGTGAAAGGGCTAATAGGAAAGGAAAAGTCTAACAAAGAATTTGGACACATGAATTTGAAACTAAAATATCAATGACTTGTAAATACGAGGAAGGGATCGGGTGGGTCAGAGACAGGAGCTATCCAGATACTGCTCTTACCTGCTCACAAACACATATTGCTAAATTTATTGAGCACTTACTATGTGATAGACCCAGCTTTAAAAAGGACTTTACTTGCACTAACTCATTTCATCTTCACAACAATGCTGCCAGGTAGATAGAGTTGTTGCAGTTTTACAGATGAGGACATTCAGGTCCCAGGAGGTATCTTGCCTGAGGTCGGACAGCTAGCTAAGGTCAGAACCCAGATTGATGGCAAGGATTCTGAACGACTGTGAGTGTTTGTGTGCTGTGTGATCTAAGAGAATAACACGATAATAAGCAGATTCATTATTAAAAAGCATGTATGTGTTTCAGAAACTCCCTGTGTATTTTAGTATAATCATGTTCGGCATGATAAGATTAGACATTTATGTTTATTAGAGCCACACTAATGAAAATATACAACTGGCCAGGCATGGTGGCTCACGCCTGTAATCCCAGCACTTAGGGAGTCCAAGGCGGGTGGATCATGAGGTCAGGATTTCAAGACCAGCCTGGCCAAGATGGTAACACCCCGTCTCTACTAAAACTACAAAAATTGAACGGGCACGGTGGCTCACACCTGTAATCCCAACACCTTGGGAAGCTGAGGCGGGTGGATTACCTGAGGTCAAGAGTTCGAGACCAGCCTGGCCAACATGGTAAAACCCCATCTCTACTAAAAATGCAAAAATTAGCTGGGCATGGTGGCGCACGCCTGTAATCCCAGCTACTGAGAGGAGCTGAGGCAGGAGAATTGCTTGCGCCCGTGAGGTGGAGGTTGCAGTGAACCGAGATCGCACCACTGCACTCCAATCTGGCCAACAGAGCAAGACTCTGTCTCAAAAAAAAACATCAGCCGGGCATGGTAGCAGGTGCCTGTAATCCCAGGTAATCGGGAGGCTGAGGCAGGAGAATTGCTTGAGCCCAGGCAGCAGAGGTTGCAGTGAGCTGAGATCAGCCACTGCACTCCAGCCTGGGCAACAGAGTGAGACTCCATCTCAAAAAAAGAGAAAAAAGAAAATATACAACTCAATATATACACTATCTAACTGTGCATTCATGCAAATATTACTATTTAACACTCCTGGTTCATCTGTGTCCCAGGTTGGGGTCTGCATCCCTGGCTGGTCCCAGAACAGACCTCTGCAACTATAGATGTTATCACTTCATACGCTGGTCTTCTTGGGCTGCGATGTTGCTTTGACCAAGTAATGCTAAGTGTTTTCTAAAAACGTTGGTTAGGCCAGCCTTACCCACATTTAACTGGCTTTTCTGCATCTTCTTTAAATAATATTTTGAAAAAGTTTGTGAAAATTGAATTCTGATTCTCCCAGCATTTGTCTAACTAAAGGGAGGAGGTGTTTATTGGCCTGGAGGGTTGCAGAGGTCAGACAGTAGCTTACCTTAAAGTACTATGGGTCCCCCCTCAATTGGCCAATTAGCTTAGTGAACTCTGAGTTTCATCTTCCCATTCCATCTGCTTCCCTGATAGCTGTTCCATATCCTCTCAGGGAAGTAATCTGTGTTTAATTTTGACTTTAAATGAGAAACTGAAATTCACAAGTGTATGTTTTATACCTATTTTGTATTATGGCAAAATACCCATAATGAAATTTATCATCTTAACTGTTTTTAAGTGTACACTTCAGTGGTATTAAGTTCATTTACATTGTTGTGCAACCATCACCCCCATCCGTCTCCAGAACTTTCTCATCTTCCCAAACTGAAACTCTGTCCCAATTAAATAATAACTCCCATCCCCCACTCCTCTAACCCTTGGTAACTACCCTTTTACTCTCTGTCTCTGTCAATTTGGTTACTCTAGGCACCTCATGTAAGTAGAATCATACAAAATTTGTCCTTTTGTGACTCGCTTATTTCACTGAGCATAATGTCCTCAAGGTTCATCCATGTTGTCGCACGTGTCAGAGTGTCCTTTCTTTTTAAGACTGAATAATATTCCATTGTGCAGCTGAACCTCATTTTGCTTATCTATTCATCTGTGGATGGACGCTTGCATTGCTTCCACCTTTTGGCTGTTGTGAATATGCTGCCGTGAACATGGGTGGGTAAATACCTGGTTGAGTCCTTGCGTTCAGTTATTTTGGATATATACCCAGAAGTGGAATTGCTGAAACTGTATGGTAATTCTATTTCTAATTTTTTGAGGAACCACCATACTATGGTGTTTATTTTTTTAAGGGCTACATAGAATGGACAAAACTACGGTTGAGTCTAAAAGAAAGATAAAAATAAACCCAGGTTTCATGACAAATTTGAAGTAATTCACCAATGGGACTGCAGTTTTGCCTTTTCTTTCTCATTTATCCACTTATTTGAGAAGTTTTTGTGCAAGCTTCCTTTAAGGATCCGAAGTAGGGTCTACTATTATTAGCAGATAATGGGTATTATATTAAAGATTAAATAGTAAAGGAAGAAAGCTGTATGAGATGTGCTGTTTGGAGAAGATTCTGAACAGATAAGTTTATTGCTTGACTCTCCATCTCCCTGGCATATTCACCAAAACTGCACTATAGTCTTTCATATCTGCAGCCATTTATTCACTTGACAAATATGAAGCTTCCGCCATGGGCTCAGCGACCGTGCAGCATAACACTTAGTCTTCACTGTCTTGTTCTGTAGACATCTGGGTTCGTGTCTTATTGCTCCAACCCACACAGTGCATGCTTGAACCACCCCAGGAATCAGACAGTGAGAAAGATGAGTGTGAGGGCTTCTGTGGGCTGGTGAGGCCGGAAGACCTGCAGAGCTCAGAGCTTATCTAAGGGGCAACCACTCATCCCTTCTGGCTACTTATTGCCCTGTGGGAATGCAGGTCCAGTTTTCCAGATCTTCCTAATTTCCAGGAAAAACAAGATATCCAGTTTCTAATGTAAGATCTTCCAGTTTTAAATTTTAGCCACTTATTCAGAAAAAAAAAAAAAATTAAACACGGCACAGGCCAAATAAAAGCACATTTGCAGGTCCCTGCAGCCGGACAGCCATGAGCTTTGACCTCTGCACTCATTGAATCTCTCTCCTGGAACCCTCAGGACATATCTGATGAGCATCTTGTTTTCCCCACCGTGTCTATCAAGAGGGAAAGAATGAACCAGGAAATGTAGGTAGAGGTGGATCTCCAGGAAGCTAATGAAGCCATAGCTCCTTGGCTCCTTCCTTCCCTGGGGCCTTGTGTTTTGTCCTGTTTTCCTTGATTAGGATTGCTGTGCCATGCCATTCTGGCTTCGCCTTGTCTAGTGTGGCAAAACTACAAAGGGAAAGTTGAGTTGAGGAAACACTGGGTTTGAGTTGAGACGGGTGTATTTTTGTGGTTAGCACAAGTAGTGCCTTCGGCTGCAGCAAGGCCGCTCCCCTCGGGCCATTGTCTGGCATAAGGTGAGAAGTTTTAGGGGCCAAATGATTGGACGCTCCCAGAGCCCAAGACCCAGATTCCACGCCACATCTGGGATCCTGGAATTTCCTGCCCCACACCTGAAGTTTGCATCAGAGTTTGCTTGGGGCCCTCATCTGTATCTACCTTTCTAAGGACAACAAACTTCACTTCTAGTGAGTTTGTTGGTGCTCCAAGAGGTGGCCAAGAGGCAACTGTCTACAGGGAATATGGATGTAACTCGGGTCTGCATATGTGTGAGGCCTGGCAAGATGCAAAGTGCAGGATGAAGCCTTAGGTGGGTAAAGGAGGTGAGAGGCCAGGCTTCCATGGGAATTCTAAATCCAAACGTGGCCTTTAAGCTCATTATAAGGGCATAGTTTTCATAGAAGGAGGAGAGAACACATTTACTTAACCGTTCGTTAGTGTTCTTTATGCTATTTAAAGCCTTTACACATTTAGGCGTGCGGTGTATGTGGGCCGTTTGTACTCAAGCCCAGGGCATCAGAAATATTAGAAGTGCACCTGGGTCATAGTGACTTTTGCCCATAGTTGTTTTTGTCACTACTGCCGTGTAAGTATTGCTCCAAAACTTAGTGGCATGAAGCAATCATTTTATTATGTTCATGGATTTTGCGGGACAGAAATTTGGACAGGCCACAGCTTGTCCGTGCTCAGCAACTTCTGGGGAGCTGGGAAGACTCCATGGTGGGAGTGACCCTACTGACAGGGGCTGGAATCAAATGGAGGCATCCACACTCATGTCTGGTGGTTGACGCTGGCTGCCAGTGGCGATTGTAGCTAGGGCTGTCAGCTGCATCCCCTAAACATAGCCCAGGCTTCCTCAAAGCTTGGGGGCTGCAGAGAAGTTAGACTTCTTACATGATGAGTCAGGACACCAAAGATGAGTATTCCAGGGACCAAAGCCATAGCCACCTCACCTTTGTGATCTTGCATTCTGTTGGTTACAACCAAGTCACAATCCCACCTGGATTCAAGAGAAGGGAGAGGTAGACCCACCTCTCAATGGGGGGAGTATCAAAGCATTTGGGGGGCCATGTGTTAACTATCACACAGGTTAAAATATTGCCAGCCATCATGGTGTTGGGATGGCTTCCAGGAATATATCTAATGGCAATTCAAAGAGCATTTCAAGGATATTTGAAATTCCCTGAAATTTTATAGTTACACATGAAAGAAACTTAGTAAAGGTTTTCCTCGTATTTGACAAAAATTCTAAAATTTATGTCACTACCAGTCATGCATTGTTTTAGTCATGAATCTTCAAGGCTGAAACTTTTCTGAAACATTAACAATAAAAACTGTTTTTCATCAACCATGCTGTAGGAAAGACTGACTTCTATCTTTCTACTCTCTGTAGGAAATATCACAAAGGTGTTACCATATGGAGAGGTGAGGAGGAGTGTGCTGCCCAAAAAGTGGTGTTTCAGGCTCTTGTATAATCACATGAACATCTTTAATAAGATTCTGGATACAAGAATTTAAAGTAGTAATTAGTCTCAAAAAAAAAAAGAAAAAAAAAACCAACATGGGCAACAGCAGTCCAGGAAAACTTCATGGAAGTTGAAAGAAATGGAATTTCAATAGAGTGAATGGAGGCTGGGGGCAGGACTGAGTCAACTGGTCAACCCATATTGGCAGTTACACCTGATATCAGTTCTGATTGGCTCAGTCTCCACCCTCATTGGTTAGTGCCTGCCATGGCAGTTGGTAACTGTTTTGCATATCATCCCTGCCCATTAGAGTGAACAATATTAGCAAAGGCACTGAGAAGGAATAATCTTGGCCTGTTTATCGAACGGTAAGGAAATTAGACTGGCTTGAGTCCAGCTGGGGGCAGTTGCGGGAAGTACAGCTGTTTAATTAAAGTAAAGCCAATTGAGAAGCGTGTTGAATGTCAAGCAAAGGAATTCATACATATTCCTGGAAGCAGTGGGGAGTAATGAACCTTTCAGTAAAATAATAACAACTTTAAAATTTTTCTTTTTGAAAGACTACTGCAGTAGTTGAATGAAGAGAAACTAGGAAGACCTTTTTAGAAGGTGGTTGTAATATTCCAAGTAAGAGTGATCAGACATGAACTAAGTAAAGAGGAATTTGGGCTTGTGTGTGTATCACTTCCTTAACTTGAGTTTTGTATTGTTAGCTTATAATGGATTCATGTAAGGAAGACCTCTCATGTCCCACTTAAAATGTTCTCCTCCCTGCTCCTTCCAGCCACTGCTACAGTGAACAGTTCCATCCAACCAGCTTCACGCAGCAGCACGCTGAGAATGCCTCTTCTCACTGCCTGTCCCTGGCTTCTCAGATGCAGTGGCTGGCTGGGGTGTCCCAGGCAACCCACCGGGCACTCACTCATACACCCCTTAAAAATGTGGGGTAACAACATCCTGTGAAGGAACCATCTTCCACTGGAGATGGGAGCTCTTGAATCAATGCTTCCCCTGTTTTCCCCACCCCACAGTTCTGAGATACACTCCGGAGACACACTTCTTTGGGTGAACCCAGGCTAAGAGAGAATAGGATCCTCTAATTCTTTGGTGCCACCATAGTGGAACCTCACATGCTGTTCTGCCCACAGTAAGAGCATCAAATCTTCATGGCTCACCCTTATGTTGAATAGCTAGTATCTCCTTTGACCTTTTTAATTTTTTTTTTTTAATCTGAGACAGAGTCTCGCTCTGTCTCACCCAGGTTGGAGTACAGTGGTACACGATCTTGGCTCACTGCAGCCTCCACCTCCCAGGTTCAAGCGATTCTCCCGTCTCAGCCCCCAAGTAGCTGGGACTACAGGCATGTGCCACCACACTCGGCTAATTTTGTATTTTTAGTAGAGACGAGGTTTCACCATGTTGGCAAGGCTGGTCTTGAACTCCTGACCACAGGTGATTCACCCACCTCAGCCTCTCAAAGTGCTGGGATTACAGGCATGAACCACTGCACCTGGCAACCGTTTTAATTTTTAAAAACAGGTTTGTAGAACTGAGTCAGTCCCATATACTCAGCAGTAGTTTCAAGCCTGTGGGGTGGTAATTTAGGATACTGGTAAGAGCTGAGAATTTAGAATCATAAGATCTAGATTTGAGCCTCGCTACCAACTAGATGAGTGACCAAGGGCAAGACATACACCTCTTGGAGTGTTCAGTATCCTCGTCTGTAAGATAAATGTGTTAGCAGCTACTGATCTTCACAGTGTTCTTGTATCAACCAGGACCGTGTGTGTGTGGTGAGCATTTGCTCATTTCAGCACTCAGCTTCCATTTTCCCTTCCTCTTGGTTATGTGATCCCAGTTTTTGTTTGGATGGCTATCACCTTTCCCCAGTGCATCCTGTGTTTTACCACCATTCTCCCCTCTACCCCCAGCTTTAGGGTAGGCCCTAAATAAAATATTTTTAATCTAAAGGGACTATTCATTTCCCTGGCTACGAGGATTTTAAAAAGCAAGAAGAAATTTATTGGCAGATCTGATCACCCTTATGAGAGAGCAATCAAGTAAGACAGCATGTAGCCCCTGGAAATTGCTGGAAATCATCATGTGGCCCTAAGGAGTGCCAGCCTAACGATGAAGCAGAAAGAGGGATGGCGAGATGACTGAACTGTTGAGTCAAGTCACATCCAAAGCCCATGTGGCCTCTGATCTTTTCAGATAAATGAGTTATTAAATATTTTATTTAAACCAGTGAAAGTCAGGCTTTCTCTTATCAGGGACAGAAAGACTCTCAACTGATAGAATATACAATACAAGCAAGCTTTGTAATTTGCAAATGAATAAAAACATTTTTAAAATTATTTTTCCACAGTGAATTAGCAAGAATAGCTATGACCCATGGGGCAGGTTGAGAAAAATTTCTAAGCTTTTATTTTAATTTAGTACCCTTTTTTGGAAAAAATTGGTACCGACTGACAGTATGTTCAGAACTAGATCTCAACAAGAATAACTACATATGTAAAAAGAAACAGGCATTTTAAAACCTATAAAACTGAGTGAACGTGTGTGACACTGAGTGAGAATATGATATATTCTTATATTCAAATATGTATGAAATTCATATATGTATAAAATTCACAAGTCATAAAAGCAAAGACTGTCAGCTTTGGCTACATAAAAATTAAAATACAAAAATAAAATACAAAAACTGATATATGGCAAAAAAAAAAAAAAAAAAGGAAGAAAAGAAAAGAAAAAAGAACCCACAGAGTTAAAATGTAAGTAACGAACTGAGGGAAATTTTTGGAGCTTATATGAAAGATCAGTTGATAGCCTCAATATACAAAGAGTTCTTATAAATCAATAAGAAAACAATTGGTAAAAGATTTGATCATACAATTTGAAGAACATATTAAAAGATGCTAAAGTTAAAATCAAAGTCAAGGGCTATCAGGTTTAAAAAGGTTACTAATAATTATATACATTAAGTTCTAGGCACTATAAGAATTATCTCACAGAGATGCATATATAAGAATGATCATTATAGAGTTAAAAAATAAAAACAAATGTTTAACAATAAAAAACTGGTAAAATATATTTTGATATAGTCTTACATTGAAATATATATCGGAACCATTAAAAAAGATCAGGTAGGCCTTTTAGTGTTACCATGGAAAGAAGTATGCTATATTGTTTGAGGATATTAAACAACATACAGAATGATCCCATTTATATTAAAATTAACATATGCATTAAAAGTCTGAAGGTAAATGCCAACAGTTAATAATGGTTATCTTTCAGGTGTAGAACTGCATAGAGGCTGTTTTATGTAAAGCTTTCACAAAATTCAAGCAGTACAAAAATATTTTTATTTTAAAATAAGTGAACAGATATCAGAGAGAAATACAGGTTGGGTAATCTGTGGCCCCCTTGATGGTAGAATGCGTTCCTCTTGCCCTGGGTTTCTGCATGTCAGTGAAGTGTCCAGCAGGTGACAGTCCTGTTGTGTTAGGGCAGGGTGGAAGGAAGGAGGAGGAGGAGCATGAGAGAAGAAAATATTTTCCCCAACCAGGACACTAGAAATGGAGAAATTTCACAGGGAGCTCCAGGGGAGCATAAGGGGTTGCATTTCTAGCGTTCACTGTCCTAGAGTTGGCTCCTCAAAGCCTGTGCAGTTGCCATTGCTGTTTTGCCAGGTTCTGCCTGTAAGGCCCAGTGACAGCCTCCTTCCCCACTATTGCCCAACCCAGGGTTTCTTGTAACTGATCTCATCCCTCCTCTGCCCTTTGGACTTGACTTTGGACTAATTTGACAACACATCAGCCAGCCCCATTATGAACAGCTAAAGTCTGATGTGATCCATGAGTTAGGGCCTTTGCTGAGTTGGCATCTCTCCACTTCCACCCCCGCCACAAGAAACTGGAGTTTGGAGTCTCTAGAGAAGAAGCCACAGGAGGAACAACGCAAACAAGCTTTGGGCTCCCTTGTTTCACGTCTTGTGATCAACTTAGATGAGTTATGAGAAAGTTCTCTTGGTTGAATCCTAGCCTTGCACAACTCAAAAGGATCAGAAATTCTCAGCAAGTAATTTTTCCAGATAAAAAATGAAGCTTAGAAAACTTACGTAACTTCCTCTAAGCCTATAACAAATTTGCAGTAATGCCAACATGAGAACCCAATTCTCCCGACACTGTGGACTCCCAACCTCACGCGGGACTATTTCCACTCTGCATGCCATGTCTTTGGGTGCCGCATTTCCAGCTGCAGGATTCCAGAGCTTCAGGGATTTGTTAAGAGTCAATTTTGACACCTTCACTCAAAATAGAGAATTGAAAGTGAAAATGTAGCACTGAATGCTTTTACTGTAATGCCTAGTGTTGTCAGTGTCAGTAGTATCACAGTGTCATATTATCAATGTGATATTTGTTCGTTCATCTATTCATTCATTCATCAAACATTTCTGAGCATGTACATCATGCCAGACCCTGCAGCAGAAAAAAATAAAACAACACAGCAGTAGCAAAGAGGCCATATGACCCAGCAATAGTTTTAAGCCTTACATCCTTATTCAGTCAGTCTAGTCCTGTCCCCTAGACCCCTGGCCTTTGGTCTTGGCAATTCTTGTATAGAGAATTACTATATCATTGCAAAACACTCAGTTTACTGAAGACCCTCTAGCAATATTCAATTGCAATCAACTCTTGTAGGCAAACCCTGTGAATATGGTAGCTGTGTATAGTGGTTGCATGGACGATCTCAAGGATAAAATGCAGGAAGCTTTCACCTTTTACATTTCATCTGCCCCTGGAATCTCAGTATCCTTAGCATCACTCACAATAAGTTCTTCCAGGGAAAACAGTATGCACCATCTAGCAGACACCAAGACCCAATCTTAATACCTAGAACAATTATAGATAATCCCACTGGCTCAGTCAAGATCTAGCAAGTTAATTTTGGTTACAAAGAAAACATGGCTGTGTGTTAGTAGACTCTCGAACTATTACATCTTAGGAACAGTGTGTCTGAAAATGGGCTTTCTTTGTATCAGAATGGCCATCTGTACATGTTTTGAGGAAGCATTTGGGGAAGCCCCAAGCACAATGCCATTGGTGTCATGATCACTGACACCATTGACAGCCAGTTATATTGCACATGTGGCCCAGAATGTGCCAAGGAGCCTGAGTCTACTGAAGGACACTATGTATTGAAGCCAAGGACAGAGGGAGGCAGGCTACAGTCCCTGAGATCAACTTCAGCACTCTGAAGGGTAATAATCCTCTGCCTCCACCATAGATTCGCATTATCAAGAGAAGATACAGGCTTCGTGCAGGCTTTTGGAAAATCTGGGTGACAGACTAGTCACTTAAAGAATGTTAGAGGAAGTCCAACATTTAGATGGAAGGAAAAGGATACTAAACCTCACATCCTATATAAAAATTAACTCAAACTGGACCACAGATCTAAATGGAAAATGTAAACTATAAAACTTTTGGAAGAAATCATCAGAGAAAATGTTTGTGGCCTTGGTTTAGGCAAACAATTCCTACATAAGATATCAAAAGCATGATCCATAAATGAGCAACCGATAAATTGAAGTTCATCAAAATTAAAAATTTTACTCTGCAAAAGACAAGAGAAGAAAAAGAGAAGTTAGATTGGTAGAAATTATTGCAAATCACATGCCTGATGAAAGACTTGTACTCAGAATACAATACAAACTCTCAAAACTCAATAGTAAGAAAACAAACAACCCAATTAAAAAATGAACAAAAGATCTGAACAGACATTTTACTAAAGAAGATGTCTGATAGCAAGTAAGTACATGAAAAAATGCTCAACATCATTTGCCACTTGGTAAATGCAAATTAAAACCACAGTGAGATGCCACTACGTACCTATTAAGTAGAATGACCAAAATATAAAAAAAATGCATAATATCCAGCATCTTAGCCCATTTTATGTTGCTATAATAAAATACCAGAGACTGGGTAATTTATAAAGAACAGAAATTTATTTCTTACAGTTCTGGAGGATGGGAAGTCTTAAGAGCATGGCACTGGCATCTGGTGAGGGCCTTCTTGCTGCATCACAAGATGGCAGAAGACATCACAGAGAGAGAGGGGGCCACAAGAGAGAGCTGAACTGGCTTTTATAACAGACCCTCCCTTGTGATAACTAACCAACTCCCATGATAACCCATTAATCCATTAGCCCATTAATCCATGAAATAATCCATTCATGACAGCAGAGCCCTCATGACCCAATCACTTCTCAAAGGTTCCACCTCTCAACATTGCCACACTGGGGACCAAGTTTCCAACACGTGAACTTTTAGAGGACTTTAAAACCATAGCACTAAGTGCTGACAAGAATGCAGAGGAACTGGAACTCTCATATATTTCTGAGAATGACAACTGATACAGTCCCTGTAGAAAACAGTTTAGTAGATTTTATTAAGTTAAACAAAGACTTACCATATAACCTAGCAATCCTATTTATAGGTATAGAAATGAAAACAAGCTGGGACTGGGCCTGGTAGTGCATGCCTATAATAACAGCACTTTGGGAGGCCAAGGCAGGAGGATTACTTCAGGCCAGGAGTTTGAGGTTGCAGTGAGCTATGATTGCACCACTGCACTCCAGCCTGGGCAACAGAGCAAGACCCCATCTTTTTTAAGAAAACTAAAAAAAAAGAAAAACTGGAAAGAATGTCCATCAAGAAGTTAAGGAATAAACTGTGGTGTTTCCATACAATCGGGCGCTACTCAGCAACAAAACGGCATGAACTGGCCTGGCATGGTGGCTCACTCCTGTAATCCCAGCACTTTGGGAAGCCAAGGCAGGCAGATCACCTGAGGTCAGGAGTTTCAGACCAGCTGGACAACATGGTGAAACTCTGTCTGTATTAAAAATACAAAAATGGGCCAGGCACAGTGGCTCACACCTGTAATCCGAGCACTTTGGGAGGCCGAGGCAGGCAGAACATGAGGTCAGGAGATCAAGACCATCCTGGTCAATATGGTGAAACCCTGTCTCTACTAAAATACAAAAAATTAGCAGGCATGGTGTTGGGCACCTGTAATCCCAGCTACTTGGGAGGTTGAGGCACAAGAATTGCTTGAACCTGGGAGACAGAGGTTGCAGTGAGCTGAGATCATACTACTGCACTCCAGCCTGGGTGACAGAGCAAGACTCCATCTCAAAAAAAAAAAAAAAAAAAACACACACACAAGAAAAAAAAGAATGAAGGAATGAACTACTGACATATGCAACAGCATGGATGACAATCAAATGCATTATACTGGAGTGAAATAACTCTGACTTAAAATGTACATATTGTATGATTCCATGATGTGACATTTTGGAAAAGGCAAAAAATATAGGTATGCATCAGAGTCAGTTTGTGTTGCTATAAATACCTGAGATCGGGTGATTTATAAAGAAAAGGGGTCTATTTGGTTCACAGTTCTACAAGCTGTATAATAAGCATGGCATGAGCATCTGCTTCTGCGGAAGCCTCAGGCTGCTTCCACTCAAGCAGAAGGCAAAAGGAAGCTGGTATGTGCAGAGGTCACATGGTGAGGGGGGACGCAAAAGGAGAGAGGGGGAGCTGCCAGCCTCTTTTTAACAACCAACTTTCTCAGAAGCTAACAGGTCAAGAGCTCACTCATCTCCTCCCCCAGGAAGAACATTCATCTATTCGTGAGGGATCCACCCCCACAGCCCAAACATCTCCCACTAGGTTCTTCCTCCCACATTGGGATCCATTGTCAACATGAGGTTTGGAGGGTCAAATATCCAAACTACAGCGGTGTGGAAAGTAGATCAGTGGTTGCCAGGGGCAGCGATGGGGAAAGAGTGTGACTCAAAGGGATAATACAAGTTTTCTGGGATGGCAGAACCATTCTGTTCCTGCTTATAGTGGGGATCACTTGATTTTGTGTGTGTCAAAACTCATAGAACTGTATACCAAAAACATTGCTATTTTTGCTATATTTCAATTTTGTTAAAATATTCTGTGAAGAAGTATTTCATGGCAAGACTTCAGCAATACCTCACATATACTCCCATAGGAGAGCAACAGCAGTCATCAATAAATCATCCTCCCTCCCTCCCATACCCCAGGTTAAACTATTAATATCAACCAAGACACTGGGACGTGCTAGCCAGGAAGTCATAGGCCAAGAGTTTCTTCTGAATAAACGGCAACACAACAAAACATAGGGCCGGGAGCGGTGGCTCAAGCCTGTAATCCCTGCACTTTGGGAGGCCGAGGCGGGTGGATCAGGAGTTTGAGACCAGCCTGGTCGACATGATGAAACCCTGTCTTTGTTGTTGTTGTTGTTGTTGTTTGTTTGTTTGTTGTTTTTTGAGACGGAGTCTCACTCTGTCGCCCAGGCTGGAGTGCAGTGGCGCGATCTCGGCTCACTGTAACCTCAGCCTCCCGGGTTCACGCCATTCCCCTGCCTCAGCCTCCTGAGTAGTTGGGACTACAGGCGCACACCACCATGCCCAACTAATTTTTTGTATTTTTTAGTAGAGACGGGGTTTCACCGTGTTAGCCAGGATGGTCTCGATCTCCTGACCTCGTGATCCGCCCGCCTGGGCCTCCCAAAGTGCTGGGATTACTGGCCTGAGCCACCACGTCCTGCCAAAACCCCGTCTTTATTAAAAATACAAAAAATTAGCTGGGCATGGTGGGGGGTGCCTGTAATCCCAGCTACCCGGGAGACTGAAGCAGGAAAATCGCTTGAACCTGAGAGGCGGAGGTTGCAGTGAGCCGAGATCACGCCACTGCACTCCAGCCTGGGCAACAAGAGCAAATCTCCTTCTCAAAAAAACAAAAAAAACATAGCATAGACCCAGGGCTGTGGAGTCACGGCATGTAACAGAGTCCAGGATCTAACCAGCTGGTGTGTTGCACCTGCCCCGCCTCCAACGAACGGAGCCGAGCACCACTCAAAGGCCGGAACACGTTCTTTGGACCTCAGCAGGCAGAATGCCCAACGCTGGAGCATCAGCAAATGAGCTCACAGGGTGCAGTGGGTGCTTTTGAAGCTCGGGTCAACTGGAATAAATAACGGATTTTCTGCCACGTGTGCCCTGAACAGCACCTTTGAAATCAAAGTGAAAGATGAGCATGATTTAGACCTTGCCAAAAATTACAGGTGTCCAGGCATTTGTCAATACTTACATAACTATATACCAAAAACAGCAAATGGTGCTGCTGTATGTACATTTAATAAGAAATGAAAAAAAGCTTTAGGGTAAAGCCTAGCTCAAAGTGTAACTAGGGATAAATGTTAAGCAACCAGCTCATGTCTTTTTATTTATTTGGCCCCAAATTAAAGCAATGAATGGCAAGAATATATACCACGAAGTTGTTTCTTCTTTTGTGGATTTCTTACCACAATCAATGGTGCTTCTAACAAAAAATACAAGTCTGCAGATAGTTAAAAGATGGAGACGGTGGGCCGTAGGTCCGACCTGTTAGGAGCCGCAACAAGAATTGTCCTGTGTATACATTGCACAACTCTCCTGTCACTGGGGCAGTATCTTCCATGTTTACAAGCTGTTTAAAGAATAAACCCTAAAAGTGATGAGCCAAGTAAAATACAGACTGGCAACCACAGATGATAATGCAATTCCCCTGGGGCTGGTGGGTCCCTGGAGGATCACGATAGCTCTGGGAAAATTATTAAGTGGTCTGGTTTTCCATGAAGCTGGGGGTGTCAGTGGGTTTATCAAAAGTTCCAGGGTGCTCCAGGGCGGTGGTTCCCTGGGCAGGTAGTCACAGTCACAGGGGAGACCATAGAGGGGTGTTCTCTACAAAAGGGCTGAAAGTGAAGGGAACAAATGTACATAGAGTCAAACAGCACATTCTATCTCTGTTTATTGTTATAACGTTGTCAGAGACAACATAAATAACTGATGAACATTTTAACACCATAAATGAGATAACAGCCAGCACCTCTCTGATTTGTTTTGTCTTCAGGGTTCCCCAAGAGTGCTTGGTCCTTCACTTGCTTACCCAAAGTCAACACTAGGTTCAGGCATTTTCTAAAGCACTTTCCTATCTTAGAATTTCAATTCCTGAACTTATTAGACAATTGTTCATCATCTGCTTCAAGTGCCAAGAAGTTGTTGCCTCAGGGTGGCCTCCCTCTACGAGTCTCATTATCCAGGAATCCTGCAGCAGTCATCCTGGAAAGCAGCTCCAGGAACAGCCTTGCCTGCTGCAAACCCGGCTGTCCCTTGGCCTGCTGGCCTCTGTGACACTGGTGATGTTCTGCCAGGTGCTCAGTGTTGGCTGTGAGCAGTGTGCACTGTGGCCATCCCTGAGCCCAGTCAAAGGTCCAGCAGAGCAGCAGCTGCTGCCCCAGCAGAAGAGCGCTTCACCCAGGATCACTCCAAGTTGGGAGGAAAATAAAAATTTCAAGGCAATCATCAATCCCACCATTGTTCCCTTCCCAGGACCTGAACCACCTGCTTTCAGTTTGACGAAGGAAGAAGAGCACAGAGGTGTTTAGATACCAATCATCTTTGCTAAGGGCAGTATTGAAAACAAGAGGAGAGGACTGCCAGAGAGCCAGAGCTGGCTTCAACACACATTTTTAAATTGCCTCCATGGGCTGCAGCTGTGAAACGTAGTGTGCGAAGCCACATCCGTAGCACTTTCCAAAAAAAGAAGGGTCCTGGAAAAACTGGCCAGTGTCATACTGTAATGCTTTCTACGTGTTTCTACATAAAACAACACTTTCATCTTCTACGTTCCTTTAAGAGGACAGTGGGAGGGGGACATTCCTGATACATTTAGTACATGTGCTATTCTAGGCAGGCTTCTGACTTTTTCTCATACTCTTTTCTATGTAGGCATGAGCTCCTAGCCACTCCCCTTGGCCCCTGGCTTCTGTCATGCCCCTCTTTTCCCTGGTAAAAATTCTAAAAGCTATCCCTCAGGTGATGCTTTGCCACTTCAAAACAAAAGATGTTCCACCCTTTGAAAGAGCATCAGAGCTTCTCTCCCTATCTGCCCTTCTCCTAAAAGGTGCCTGTGGGACACTCGCTACCTTCACCCAGCTGTAGTAAGCCCCATACTGGTGAAAACACCCCATAATTTTATTTTTGAGAAAACTGTAAAAGACATAAAAGCATATTATGAAAATAACATTTGCTGTACGTTTCTAAAAAATACTTTTCATCAAGTGAAGGACTCTAGTTCGCAATTAATATTTTATCTGCAGGGATTGAGATGTTATTAGTGTGGTAAGTTACACACATAGAGATTTCTAGTGTTGAGCTACCTTTGAGAAAAGCCTATTTTGTCCATTTTCATGTATGTATTCATAAACTGCTGAATTCCATTTGTTAATATTTTGTTTGGGCATTTTGCCATTCTATTTATAATTAGGATTGGCGTGTACTTTAATTTCTTGCATTTTTCCTATCTGGCTTAGAAATTGACAGCATCCATAATACACTCTTCTTCAAATGACCTGGCCAGACATTTCAATCTATCATATGAAAAATTAAATCTTCATCCACCAAACCAAAAAGTCAGTAGATAAAATTTAAAATTGATTAGTCACAACATAGCAATGTAAGAATTATTAGAAAATAAGGAGGTAAACACCAGAAGAAGCAACTGAAAGGACTGGAGGTGGTTGCCTCCAGGGAAGAGAAAAATAGACAGGAAACTGCTTTTTTGTTTGTGAAAATAACCCTTTCAGGATTACTTTTCTTTTTAAACCAAGAATATAAAACCATGTTCCATTCTTTTAAACCGTTTTATCAAACATGTATTACTTTGATACAAATGAAAGAAAAAAATGAGGTCTTACAGCTCAGAGACATTTATGGTGCAGCATTTATTTTGAAATTGTGACATCTCTTAGGTTTCATTTCTCTCTCACGTGGTGTGGATTTTTTCCCCCAGGGAACACATATAGAAGTCATAGGTTTCTTGTTCAAGCTTTTCCCTTCTAGTATATTTTGTACTTCCTTGTCTCTGAACATGTGAGGGTTCTTCCCCTTACCCCTACCTGATTGCATGCCAAAATATTGGCTTTCCACCAAGCAAAGGTTGGAAGACATTTTTAAACCCTTTATTCGAAAGCGTGCAATAATATTATCTAGATATCCTTTGAAGGACTTCTGGTCTGGTGGCGGAATTCTGAATTCATACACTAGTTCTTTTTTGGCACCTGGTTGATGTGAGGTGTTGTGGCTTTGCTTTGACAACTGGTTCAGGATACTGTGGTGGTGTTGGAGGGATCATTGAGTGGAGATGCTATCGGGGCACGCCCTACACCCAGGCCAGGCCCACCATCAGCTGTTTCATTTCAAGGCTGACTCTGGAGAGGACAGTATATCTGCCACTTGTAGGATAATCCGTTTAAAATAGAATTCAGACTGGTGGAAAGCAACATGAAAACCGACCATGACAAAAGGTGTTATTTGCGGGGGTCTGTTATTGTTGCTTGTATTGAAAACTAAGTTCTTTTTCTCTTGTTAAAATAGTTTAAGTTTTAGTTTTGTGAGATTTTTAAAACACTGATGCTGTTTGCATATTTTACTTTGTGACTAAGCCTGGAGGAGGGCACATTTTTTTCTAAATTAGTTTGTGTATTTAATCGGCATTTCTGAGTCACTAGAACAGAATGCTGCTCCCTCTCCTCTGTTGTATTATTGCTATTGATACTTTTATTTATTTATTTATTTTTTAACAATAGAATGTACCACATTTATTTAAATCAATGACTATGATGATTATATAAAAACAAGAATAATACCGGGCGAGGTGGCTCACGCCTGTAATCCCAGCACTTTGGGAGGCCGAGGAGGGCAGATCACCTGAGGTCAGGAGTTTGAGACCAGCCTGACCAACATGGCAAAACCCCGTCTCTACTAAAAATACAAAAATTAGCCGGGCGTGGTGGTGGGCGCCTGTAATCCCAACTACTCGGGAGGCTGAGGCAGGAGAATCACTTGAACCCAGCCGGCGGAGGTTGCAGTGGGCCGAGATCGCACCATTGCACTACTCCAGCCTGGAAGACAGAGCCAGACTCCGTCTCAAAAACAAAAACAGAAAAAAAAACTTAAATGGAAAAAAAGTCATCAAATGGGATGCAAAGTTTGATTAAAATTGCTAAATATATACAGATCTATGTGCACATAAAATATTGGAAGGGAACTTGCAAACATTAATAGTTATGTTACTTATGTGTTCATGTTGAGTGAACTTTTTATTTATTTACATTTCTTTTCAAACTTTTCTGTAATATGCCTATTTCCTCCTTTATGACAAAACCTATTGGAAAAACAAACCATAATGTCTCAATCAGGGAAGAATAACTAGAACAATCATTCTTTTTTGTTCTATTTATTCTTCTTTCTTAAAGTTTCACCATTTGCGTGGGCTCGGGTCCTCAGCCTCATTTTGCTGATAAAATTTAAGAGCTTAAAGCAGTAGCTTTTAGTTTTGTGGGTATTTTCGCTGAGAATTAAGGCTGAAAGAGGAAGTTATCATCTTGGAACTTAGGGGAAAATTCTACAGAACAGTATATCAGACTTTTAGGATAAATCTCCTTCTTTCTAGTTGTTTTTCTTGTTAAACTTTTCTGAGAATTTGAGGCTCAACCTTTTAATTCTGGGAGCTGGCTATAGTATTTGGAGGCCGTGACTGAGTTCAGGAGGTGGATGCTGGATAATGGGAGGGTGGATGATAAGGTTTAGGGATGATATTGACATTCAAGTTCTGATTCGATTAGAGAAAGAGTGAATATAGTATTTGTGGCCAAACGATAGTCGATTGAATTAAAGTTTAGTTGGTTGGATCATTTAACTGAAAAAAAGAGGTGGAGAGGCTATCTTATTTATGTTAAGTGTAATAAAGGTAATTATATGGGAAACCTGAGAGAGGAGACTATTGGTAATTTTGTCCATCTGTGGGTGGTGATGGTGATGGTGGGTGCTCCAGGCTTCCTCTTGGAGATGACATTTGTGCTGATCTTCAGGGATAGCACAGCGAAGGGCAGGACTTTCTAGAAAGAGTACGTCCAGAGGTAACAGTTATGAAAGGGCAACTTTTTTTTTAGATGAAGTCTTTCTGGGTCACCAGGCTGGAGTGCAGTGGTGCGATCTTGGCTCACTGCAACCTCCATCTCCTGGGTTGAAGCAATTCTTCTGCCTCAGCCTCCCGAGCAGCTGGGACTACAAGGCATGCACCACCACACCCAGCTAATTTTTTTTATTTTTATTTTTATTAGAGACGGGGTTTCACCATGTTGGCCAGGATGGTCTCGATCTCTTGACCTCGTGATCCACCCGCCTCGGCCTCCCAAAGTGCTGGGATTACAGGTGTGAGCCACTGCGCCTGGCCTGAAAGGGCATCTTCTATTCAGGCGCAGTGAAAAAGCTGGGTGAATGCTGCAGGGGTCCACCTATTAGAGACCTTAGAGGACAAACAAAGAGATTCTGATGTGGCTGTTACAAGGGAAGTTGGAGTTTTTCAAGTAGGAGAGTAATGTTATCAGATTCATTTTTTATGAAGATCTCTGAGGATATTGTATAGAAGTTAGACAAGAACAAGAATACAGGCATACCTCGGAGATACTGTGGGTTCAGTTCCAGACCACCACAAAGACAGTCACACAAATTTTTAAATTTTCTAGTGCATATAAAAGTTATGTTTATACTATACTATAGTCTAGTAAGTGTGCAGTAGCATTTTGTCTAAGAAAATAATGTGCATAATTTCATTAAAAATACTTAATTGCTAAATAATGCTAATGATCCTCTGAGCATTCAGTGAGCTGTGCTCTATTTGCTGGTGGAGGGTCTTGCCTCAGTGTTGATGGTTGCTGACTGATCAGGGTGGTGGTTGCCAAAGGCTGGGCCTGTGGCAGTTTCTTAAATCAATATTGAGTTTGTCACATTGATTGATTCTACCTTTCACGAAAGATTTCTTTGTAACATGTAATGCTGTTTGAATCAACTTCTTCCAAACTTCTGTTAATGTTGATATTTTACCTCCTCCCAAAAACTGTGAATGTCCTTCATGGCACCTACAGTGGTGAATGCCTTCCAGAAAAATTTCAATTTACTTTGCCCAGATCCATCAGAGAAATCATTACATACAGCAGCTATAACCTTTGGAAATGTATTTCTTAAATAATAAGACTTAAAAGTCAAAATTACTCCTTGATCTATGGGTTGCAGAATGGATGTTGTGTTAGCAAGCATGAAATCAACTTTAATCTCCTTGAGCATCTCCATCAAGCTCTTAGGTGACCAAGTGCATTGTTAATGAGTAATAATATCTTGAAAGGAATAATCAGAGCAGTAAGTCTCAACACTGGGCTTAAAAATATTCAGTAAACCATGCTGTAAACAGATGTGCTGTCCTCCAGGTTTTGTTGTTCCATTTACAGAGCACAGGCACAGTAGATTTAGCATAATTTTTAAGGGCACTAAGATTTTCAGAATGGTAAGTGAGCATTGGCTTCAACTGAAAGTCTCCAGCTACACTAGCCCCTAGCAAGAGAGTCAACCTGTCCTTTGAAGCCATGAAGCCAGGCATTGACTTCTCCTCTCTAGATATAAAAGTCCTAAATGGCATCTTCTTCCAATAGAAGGCTATTTTGTCTACATTGAAAATGTATTGTTTAGGGTAGCCTCCGTCATCAGTGCTCTTAGCTAGATCTTCTGGATAACCTGCTGCAGCTTCTCCATCACACTTGCTGCTTCACCTTGCACTTTATGTTATAGAGGTGACTTCCTTCCTCAGCCTCATGAACCAACCTCTGCTACCTTCAGACTTTTCTTCTGAAGCTTCCTCACCTCTCTCAGCTTCACAGAATTGAAGAGACTTAGGGCCTTGCCCTGGATTAGGCTTTGGTTTAAGGGAATGTCGTGGCTGGTTTGATCTTCTATCCAGACCACTAGAACTTTCTCCATATAAGCAATAAGGCTGTTTTGCTTTCTTATCATTCATATGTTTACCAGGAAAGCGCTTTCAGTTTCATTCAAGATTTTTTTCCTTTGCATTCACAACTTAGCTAACTGTTTGGCAAAAGAGGCCTAGCTTTTGGCCTATCCTGGCTTTTGACATACTTTCCTCACTGAGCTGAATCATTTCTAGCCTTTGATTTAAAGTGAGAGACGTGTGACACTTCTTTTCACTTGAACACTTAGAGGCCATTGTAGGGTTATTAATTGGCCTAATTTCAATATTGCTG